>NT_187644.1:0-184499 GCF_000001405.40 Homo sapiens
ATGCTTGCCTCGGCAGCACATATACTAAAATTGGAACGATACAGAGAAAACTAGCATGGCCCCTGCGCAAGAATGACACGCAAATTCGTGAAGTGTTCCATATTTAAAAAAAAAAATCTACTTTCCTGGTAAATTTCAAGTATAGAGTACAGTATTGTCAACCATAGTGGCAAAGCTGTACAAGAGATCTTCAGACCCATTCCTCCTGAATACCTGATAGTTTGTATCCTTTGATCAACATCTCCCAATTCCCTCCCCCACACTGTCCCTGTAGTTCTAGTGAGTTCCCCAGACTCTGATGTCTCAATTTCATTCAGTCACTTTCCTCCAGATACATCTACCCATTCCTACTGCATCTTAGTATCCTGAGCCTTGGGGGCAGTTTCTGTGCCAAGTGGAAATGTGGAAATGAGATATTACGAAGAAAAATCTTTGCCCACCTAGACAGGGATCTGATGTTTTCCAAGATGACACATGATTACATGTTGAAATGATAATATTTTGAGTCTACTTGTATAATAAAATAATATTTTGGATCTATTAGGTTAATATTTTGGGTCTGTTGGGTTAATAATATTTTGGGTCCATTGGGTTAACTTAAATTAATTTTATCTGTTTCTTGTTAGCTTTTTAATTTGGATACTAGCAAGTTTGAAAGAATGCATGTGGTTTGCATTATGTTTCTATAGGACAGAACTTACCTGTAGATGTAAGGGAGTCACAACAAAATTACAAGCATTGTTTTTGGTGGAAATGAGAAAAATGATTACAAATTTACATGGAAAAGCAAATAGCCAATAATAATAATAATGGCAATCTTAAAGAGGAAGGAGAAATTAGAGGATTCAGGCTGCCAAATTTTAAGGGGTTCTATAAGGCCACATAAAGTGCAGCATCCTCATGAGAGTGGACACAGAGAGCCACTGAGCAGAAAAGAGTGTGTAAAATACATCTGTGTACACACAGTCCTTTTATAGTTGACAGAGGCTGCCATGCGGATTAAGGTGGAATAGAATGTCTTCTCAGTAAATAACATTGGACCAGAGGGTTACAAGCAGGAAAAAATAAATCTAAGCTTATTTTCACACCATAAAAACACTGCTAATTTTTTATCTTATTATCATACATTTTGATGATTTATTTATAAAATTGATGAATGAAAATTATATACAGTAGTCCTTCACTATTCATGGGTGATTGGTTCCAGGAAACCCCCCTCCCTACCAGACACCAAAATCTGCAGATGCTCAAGCCTGTTGCATGAAATGGCACAGCATTTGCATATAACCCATGCACATCCTCCTGTATACATGAAATCATCTCTAGATTACTTATAATTCCTGATACAGCCTACACACCACCTCACTTGTGTCCACACAATATAGTATTTTTGCTTTTTGGAACTTTGTGGATTTTTTCTCTGAATATTTTTGATTTATATTTGGTTCAATAAACACCTGTAAACCCCACAGATATGGAGGAGCGACTGTATATTTATAGTATGAAAGATGATGTGTTGACATGTGTCCCTGTGGAGATGAGACTAACAAGGCCTATGACTCTACAAATGTTTCATCTTGGAATGACTCTGCCAGCTTTCCAGGTCTGCAGAGAGTAAGAATATCACTTGTTCATGTGATTCACGATCCTTGGAACCTCCTATGTGCTGCATCTTTGGATGGAAATTGGAGTCCCAGAGACAAATGAGGCTCCACCCTGCTTCCAGAAGCTCAGAGTCCAGGGCTGAGAACCCAGTAGAGAACATATCAGGTTATATGGACATAGTAATGATAACACTGGAAACTTTTGGCGAATAAAGAGTCACATTATCGAAACCATGAGGGCAGACATGTTTATTTGAAGAGGAGAGAGCTACACTGAAGTTATAAAAAAAATTTATAAATTTTACTGATGACAGAAGGCTGAAAGATAGTCTGAGGGGAGGTGGAACAGCATGAGGGAAGGTGGAACAGCAAGTGTGTAAGTGCCGTGTTAAGAGGGAGCCTCTTGCATGTTTGGAATTGTGAGTTCCTCAGTGTGATTGCAGCCTCAAGTAGGACTAGGAAGTAAGCCAGTTAGGTTGGAGAGGTGGGCAGGGGTCAAGTGAAATAGATACTTGTGGGCTAAGCAAAGGAGTGTGTTTTCTCTGCAGCAGGCAGTGGCGACCTTAGGCATTTGTAAGCAAGAGAGAGGCATGTTCAGATTCGTGGTGTGAGGAAGAGCGATCCCCTAAGATGCAGACTGATGCCTTCAGATTCCAGCTGCTGGTTCATTGGATCTGGCAACCTGGTTTTGAGACAGGGCTGTTGTCTCCCTAGAAAACCCCCTCAAGACCTGACTGTGGTGCTCGTGGGCAGGAGACAACTTTGGATCTGGGCTCAGCATTTGGAAGTTCCGTGTACACGCTGGTATCTGTTAGGGGTGTCTTGGGCCTCTGAGAAGGGCGACTGATTTTTCTCTGTATGAAAACGCAGTGATCCAACTGTGCGTACATCACCTCCTGAGGGTCTTGTTCATCAGAGTCCTGGAGAGAGGGAAATGCTGAGTGAGGGAGGGTGCTCACATTTTTCAGGACTATTAGGGATAAGACTGTATCCGTGAGGCTGGGCCGAGGAGGACCTACCTGCCTATTCACTGTTCTGTCCCCCGCAGGCTCTTGGTCCATTACAGCAGCATCTGTAGGAGACGGAAGTCATCAAAACCGCTTGGAGGGCCCTTCTGGGTCCTCATTTCATGGGCAGACACCAACCCACAGGGGGAGGCTGTAGGTGCCTGAGGCTCTTCAGCTGCCAACATCCAGACTCAGACATTCTATCTCTCTGAGTTCAAGACCCCATCCCATGAAGTGCTCTCAATTGGCATCCCATTGATTCTGTCTCCCACTTTCTGCCTGTCATGGAAGCTTCTGGATGTCAGTGGCTGCAGGGGATGTGAGGATACAGTTCAGAACCAGGCAATGGTCTGTGAGCTGAAGGCAGGGGCAGGTTGTCTGGTGCTCTCTCTAGAAAGCCCTGCCTCTGTGGCTCCTCCCTTGGGCCAGGGACCATCCTGCCAGTGAGGAACACACACCCGCGTGCTCCCATCCTGCTTCCCCACATGGCCCTGAGCTCTCTGGCCTCTGCTTCGTGAGACTTACTCTTTTTGTTGGAGCACCAGCGATAAAGGAGAAAGAAGAGGAGGAGGATGAAGAGGAAGATGACCACTGAGGTCCCAATCAGAACATGCAGGTGTCTGCAGATACCTGGAGGAAGATGGGAATCCAATAAGAAGCTAATCATAGCAGTTCCTCTTTATGGATTGTCTCATTTCTTGATTGACAGGTAACCACATGGAACATCTCCTTAGGACAAGCAGCCTGATGGCGGGAGACCCAGCTTTCTCCTGCTTTCTCAGTTACAGCTCTCATAGAAACCATAGAACATGCTGAGGATACAGCTGCTTTAGTTTAGATGTTTGACCCTTTGAAACCTCACACTGAAATATTGAAATTTAACCCCCAGTGTGGAAGTTTGGGCCTATGGGAAGGTGTTTGAGTCATGGAGGTGGATCCATCATGAATAGATTAATGCTGCCCCACATGATGGGGTTAGCAAGTTCCCCCTCTATTAGTTCCCGGAGGGCTGGTTGTTAAAAAGAGCTTGGAAGCTCCATCGCTCGCCCTCCCCCTTGCTCCCTCTCTTGCCATGTGATCTCTGTGGTCTCTGCACAGACAGACCCTCCTTCCCTTCTGCCAGAGTGGGAGCAGCCTGAGGCCGTCACAGGAAACAGATGCTGGTGCCATGCTTCCAGTACAGCCTGCAGAACTGTGAGGCAAACAAATCTGTTTTCTCTAGAAGTTGCCCAGGCTCTGGGATGCAAGGCTGGTTCAATATATGCAAATCAATAAATGTAATCCATCATATAAACAGAACCAAAGACAAAAACCGGACGATTATCTCAATAGATGCAGAAAAGGCCTTTGACAAAATTCAACAACACTTCATGCTAAAAACTCTCAATAAATTAGGCATTGATGGGACGTATCTCAAAATAATAAGAGCCATCTATAACAAACCCACAGCCAGTATCATACTGAATGGGCAAAAACTGGAAGCATTCCCTTTGAAAACTGGCACAAGACAGGGATGCCCTCTTTCACCACTCCTATTCAACATAGTGTTGGAAGTTCTGGCCAGGGCAATTAGGCAGGAGAAGGAAATAAAGGGTATTGAATTAGGAAAAGAGGAAGTCAAATTGTCCCTGTTTGCAGATGACATGATTGTATATCTAGAAAACCCCATTGTCTCAGCCCAAAATCTCCTTAAGCTGATAAGCAGCTTCTACAAAGTCTCAGGATACAGAATCAATGTACAAAAATCACAAGCATTCTTATACACCAATAACAGACAAACAGAGAGCCAAATCATGAGTGAACTCCCATTCACAATTGCTTCAAAGAGAATAAAATACCTAGGAATCCAACTTACAAGGGATATGAAGGACCTCTTCAAGGAGAACTACAAACCACTGCTCAATGAAATAAAAGAGGATACAAACAAATGGAAGAACATTCCATGCTCATGGGTAGGAAGAATCAAGATCGTGAAAATGGCCATACTGCCCAAGGTAATTTATAGATTCAATGCCATCCCCATCAAGCTACCAATGACTTTCTTCACAGAATTGGAAAAAACTACCTTAAAGTTCATATGGAATCAAAAAAGAGCCTGCATTGCCAAGTCAATCCTAAGCCAAAAGAACAAAGCTGGAGGCATCATGCTGCCTGACTTCAAACTATACTACAAGGCTACAGTAACCAAAACAGCATGGTACTGGTACCAAAACAGAGATATAGATCAATGGAACAGAATAGAGCCCTCAGAAATAATGCCACATATCTACAACTATGTGATCTTTGACAGACCTGAGAAAAACAAGCAATGGGGAAAGGATTCCCTATTTAATAAATGGTGCTGGGAAAACTGGCTAGCCATAGGTAGAAAGCTGAAACTGGATCCCTTCCTTACACCTTATACAAAAATTAATTTGAGATGGATTAAAGACTTAAACGTTAGACCTAAAACCATAAAAACCCTAGAAGAAAACCTAGGCATTACCATTCAGGACATAGGCATGGACAAGGACTTCATGTCTAAAACACCAAAAGCAACGGCAACAAAAGCCAAAATTGACAAACGGGATCTAATTAAACTAAAGAGCTTCTGCACAGCAAAAGAAACTACCATCAGAGTGAACAGACAACCTACAAAATGGGAGAAAATTTTCGCAACCTACTCATCTGACAAAGGGCTAATATCCAGAATCTACAATGAACTCAAACAAATTTACAAGAAAAAAACAAACAATCCTATCAAAAAGTGGGCAAAGGACATGAACAGACACTTCTCAAAAGAAGACATTTATGCAGCCAAAAAACACATGAAAAAATGCTCACCATGACTGGCCATCAGAGAAATGCAAATCAAAACCACAATGAGATACCATCTCACACCAGTTAGAATGGCGATCATTAAAAAGTCGGGAAACAACAGGTGCTGGAGAGGATGTGGAGAAATAGGAACACTTTTACACTGTTGGTGGGACTGTAAACTAGTTCAACCATTGTGGAAGTCAGTGTGGCGATTCCTCAGGGATCTAGAGCTTGAAATACCATTTGACCCAGCCATCCCATTACTGGGTATAAACCCAAAGGACTATAAATCATGCTGCTATAAAGACACATGGACACGTATGTTTATTGTGGCACTATTCACAATAGCAAAGACTTGGAACCAACCCAAATGTCCAACAATGATAGACTGGATGAAGAAAATGTGGCACATATACACCATGGAATACTATGCAGCCATAAAAAATGATGAGTTCATGTCCTTTGCAGGGACATGGATGAAATTGGAAATCATCATTCTCAGTAGACTATCACAAGGACAAAAATCCAAACACTGCATGTTCTCACTTATAGGTGGGAATTGAACAATGAGAACACATGGACACAGGAAGGGGAACATCACACTCTGGGGACTGTTGTTGGGTGGGGGGAGGGGGGAGGGATAGCATTAGGAGATATACCTAATGCTAAATGACGAGTTGATGGGTGCAGCACACCAGCATGGCACATGTATACATATGTAACTAACCTGCACATTGTGCACATGTACCCTAAAACTTAAAGTATAATAATAATAAAAATTTAAAAAAAAAGCTCATCAGAAGCACTATACAAAAAAAAAAAAAAAAAAAGAAGTAACCCAGGCTCAAGTGTTCTTTTATAGCAACAAAAATGGACTAAGACAGCAACGTCCTGAGATCAGGAGGAACGTCTCAGAACAGCCTGTGCTGTCTTCCTGTTCTTCCTGGAGGAGGACGTCATGCAGTGCTTTAGCTGAGTGCTTCCTGTGGCTTCAGGGTACAAAACCCAGGCTGGGCTATTTTCTGGCTTCCCCCAGATACACTGCAAATGAGGTGACTCCATATGTCCCGAGAAGCTTTTCTGAGCCTTGAGGGACTGGCTCACATTGAAATGTAGGCTTCTGTTGTCACTCGCTGCTTATCTGTTAGTAATGAACCTGCCTATGTAACGTATTCTCTGTGTGTTCTGTCTCCCTGGAGTGACGGTGAGTGATAGAAATTTGCATAGGCCCAGGTGCAGTACAGCAGGTGTTTAGAGTCTTCTCTGGAAAGACTGAACTGGGATTGATACACAGTGAATGTGCTTTACAGTTTCTACATCCACAACCCTCTTGACTCAAATTACATTCTCCAAGAAAAGGACACAAAAGTGAAATCAAGATCAAAAAAGCAAAGTAGAATTCTCTTATGTCAAACAGCCAGGAAATAATGATGAAGCCCATGTGAAACGTGCTACTCTTTGTGATCTCGCGAGACACATGTTAGGCTGCTGTTCCACCTGAGAGGCTGGGGGAAAGACCACCCCCTCCACCATCTATTGCTTCAAAACCACCTGTCCTCCTGTGAATTAGTAGGAAAGGGGAGCAGGAGCTAGTGCTGGTGCTGATCTCTGATTCCAAGATCTGAACTCACTCCAAGGAGTATTAGCGTTTACCTCCCCATGATCTATCTGTATCTCCACAGGTGATTGGAAGTAGGGGTGAGGTGGGGGATTTGGGTGAGGGGGCAAGTTTCTTGTGATGAACAGAGCACTTTCCCTATTTCAGGGCCTGTGCTGGTGGGTTCAGGGGGCTTTCATATTTTCCATATGATCTCATGTTCACAGAAAGCCAAATATGGAAGAGGTTTTAGGCTGATTTTCTAATGGATAAGATAAAGGATCAAAGAAGTAATTATAGAGAAATAGAAAAATGATGATTGGAATTCAGGTGCCTGCATCATTTGTGTATATTATTATATTTATGTATTTTTTATTTTTATTTTTTGAGCCAGAGTATCCCTGTGTAGCCCAGGCTGGTGTGCAGTGACGCGATCTCCACTCACTGCAACCTCTGCCTCCAGGGCTGAAGTCATTCTCCTGCTTCCTCCTCCAGAGTAGCTGGGATTACAGTCATGCACCACCATCATGCCTGTTTAATTTTTGTATTTTTAGTAGAGATAGGGTTTCTCCATGTTGGCCAGGCTGGTCTCGAACTCCTGACTTCATGTGATCCACCCGCGTTGGCCTCCTGAAGTGCTGGGTTACAGGCGTGAGCCACCGTTCACAGCCTTGTATATTATGCTATACTAGGTCCCTTCATTTGCACCACCCCTCATCTAGCTCTCCCTCCTCTGCCAGGTATTGATTTAGATGCAGGAGAAATAAATCTCAGAAATAAGTTAGTGAAGCGAGGATTAAACTACCAGGAAAAAATCAAACCCAGCAAGCCTTTCCAGCCAATGATTCTACCTCACAAACATATCTTATATCCATCTACTTCATTCATTTAGTGTCTAAATCAGCACCACATTTCACCAGTGGGGCGGGAATTGCCTTTTCCACGGTCTCCTAGATTCCAGTTACGCACCTGGGCCTCCCTTATTTTCATGTCAGTCATATTAATCATGTAGGGATTCCTGGTTACCCCGAGGTGAGTCCAATGGCTGTGAGTGTCAAACACACACTCCTTGTTGCTCCTTAGTTTCCTGTGTACCCAGTGTGCTCTCCGTCTCTCTACAGTCGTCTTGTCATTCTCCCCACGTCATTCCCAGCATTTGAGGCAGAGCCTCTTCCTTCAACATCAGATTATTTTCACCTTTGTGCCTTCACGGCTGACAGCTGTGTGTGCAAAATCCTTCCGCCCATCTTTCAGGGGTTCAATCCGTGTTTTTCATTAATGTCACAAATATCTGATTAGTGAGAACTTCTCTGTCACCTGAAATCATACACTCAGCATTATCTATTATTGATTTGAAAATTTGGCTTGGCCCCGTGGCTCATGCCTCTTATCCCAGCGTGTTGGGAGGCAGAGGCTATTGGATCACCTGAGGTTGGGAATTTGAGACCAGCCTGGCCAACATGGTGAAACATCCTCTCTACAGAAAATATGCAAAAAGAGTTAGCCGGGCGTGGTGGTTGTGGTCTGTAATCCCAGCTACTGGAGAGGCTGAGGGAGGAGATCCGTTCAGCCCAGGAGGTGGAGGTTGCAGTGAGCCGAGATCATGCCACCGCACTCTAGCCTGGACGACAGAGCAAGGCTCCGTCTCAATAAACAAGTAGGTAAATACATAAATAAATAGATTTCATGCACAGATGCTTCTCAATAGATCATTCATTTATTGGTCCCCTTGTGCCTACATTTTCTGCCCTCCCATTTAACCATCTGCAAGATCAGTGTCCCAAGAACAGAGGCCAAATGCATCTTGTTCACTGTTTGTGGAAGGCAGGAGAATGTTGTCCCACCCCAAAAATGTCCATGTCCTAGCCTCCATAGCTTGTGAATATGTTATTTTACATGAAAGGAGGAATGAAGATTGCAGATGGAATTATGGTTGCTAGTCAGCTGAACTTAAAAGGAGGGTATCCTGGATGATTTCCGGGAGATTATGATGGATTTTCATCTTGGTGAACCCAATAGAATCCCCAAGTTTTCAAAAGAAGGGGAAGAAGGGAGAGCAGCATTCAGAGAAAGAGGTGTGGTAAGGAAGAAGGGTCTGAGTGATGCCATGTGAGATGTGACCAGTCTTTGTGGGCTTTGAGGAAGGAGGAAGGGTACCAGGAGCCAAGGAACATGGGAGCCTCTAGAAGCTGAGAAAAGTGAGAAGCAGATTCTTGCCTGGAACCCTCAGAGGGAAGGCAGCCTTGCTGTCACCTTGATTTTAGCCCAGTGACATGCACGTCATGCTTTGAGCTACAGCACTGTAAGATAATTAAATAACCGTTTTGTTTTCACCCACGAATCTTGTGGAAATTTGTTATGGCAACAATAGGAAAAGCTTCCACACTGCACAGCCTGAGCATGGGGCTGTGGCTGAATGAGTCAGTGAGTCGAAGTGTGCGTGCATGAGCTCTGTTCTCTGTTACGGCAAGGCTCTTGCTCTGCTGAGTCAGCCAGGGTTGCCTGATGACCAACAGTAATTCATTCCTTGGCAAGTGGAACTTCTCTAAAACACCCACCCTCATCAGATGTTCCCTTCCCTTCCCTCTCTCAAGCCCCCGGGAATTTATCCTCCAGTTAGGAATGCAGGCAGAAAAAACACTGCATGTTTCCTGAGAAGGATGTCAGATTGGCAATTATTCTTCTAGCTTGTAGGAGGTCTCACCTGCAGGAAATTAAAGGTAAAGAGACTTCGCTGAGCCCTTTGGTGGCCCTAGATCCCTTTCACTGTTGGAGTGTCTGGAGTTCAGAGATGGTGGAAGACAGGCCCTCATTCACAGAGCTGGGAGGTTTGAGCCAACACTTGCATCCAAGGCTTCCACCTCCCCAGGTTTCCAAAAGCAGAGATAAGAGGGGTCCTTTACTCACCAGATTTGGAGCTTGGTTCTGTGGGTGAAGGCCAACTACTTGAAGGGTTTCCTAGAACACGGGACAGGAGAGATGTGAGGAAATGAGGGTGCTTGTCCTCTACTCAATGGAAATCTTTGAGGTTGGTTCATGGCCAACACTCTGTTATCTAATGTTGGACCCTGGGAGTCTTGGGATCCTTTTCTCCATAATTTTTGTGTGCGATGCCCACTGTCTTGAGACTTGAAGGTATAAAGAGAAAACAGGAGCATCACACTACCTGACTTAGAAATATGTTACAGAGCTGTAGTAAGCAAAACAGCATGACATTGGCATAAAGAAAGGCACATAAAAAATGGAACAGAATGGAGAACACAGATATAATCCATGCATTTACATCCAATGGCTTTCTTTTGTGTGTGTGTGATGGAATCTTGCTCTGTCATGCAGGCTGGAGTGTAGAGGTGCAATCTCAGCTCAATGCAACCTCCACTTCCTGGATTCAAGAAATTCTCTTGCTTCAAACTCCTGAGTAGTGGTATTACAGGCACTGATCACCATGCTCAGCTAATTTTTGTATTTTTAGTAGAGACGAGGTTTCACTCTGTTGGCCAGCCTGGTCTTGAACTCCTGGCTTTAGGTGATCCACCCGCCTCGGCCTCCCAAAGTGCTGGAATTGCAGGTGTGAGCCACCATGCCCAGCCCATTTAATGGACTTTGACAAAGGTGCCGAGAACTTACAATCAAGAAAGGACAGTCTTCAATAAATGGTGTGGGGAAAACTGGATATCTACATGCAGAGGAATAAAACTGCATCTATACCTGTCACCTTACACAAAAATCAAATGAAAATGGATTAAAAACATGAGTCTAAGGCCTGAACCTATGAAACATGTAGAAGAAAATAATGGGGAAGACATTTGTCTGACGAAAGACATTTTGTTTAAAACCTTCAAAACACAAGTAATCAAAGCAAAAAATAGACCATTAGGATTACATCAAACCAAGCAACTTCTGCACCACCAAAGATAAACCAACAAAGTGAAGAGACAACCCACAAAATAGGAGCAAATATTTGCAAACTATTCATCTGAGATGGGATTAATAACTGGAAATATAAGAAGCTCAAACAACTCAATAAAACAATTTAATTAAAAAACGAGCAAAAGACATGAGGAGACATTTCTCCACAAACAAAACATAGAAATGGCGATCACGTATATGAAAAAGTGCTCAGCATCACTCATCATCACAGAAATGTAAATTACAATCGCGATGAGTTTTCATCTCATCCCATTAAAATGCCTTTTAGGCCGGTGGCTCACGCCTGTAATTCCAGCACTTTGGGAGGCGGAGGTGGGCGGATCACCTGAGGTCGGGAGACCAGCCTGACCAACATGGAGAAACTCCCTCTCTACTAAACATACAAAAATTAGCTAGGCGTGGTGGCACACGCCTGTAATCCCAGCTACTTTGGAGGCTGAGGCAGGAGAATCAGTTGAACGCGGGAGGCAGAGGTTGCAGTGAGCCGAGATCACACCCTTGCACTCCAGCCTGGGCGACTATGAGTGAAACTCCATCTCAACATAAATAAATAAATAAATAAATAAAGTAAAATGGCTTTTATCTGCAAGACAGGCAAAACAAATGCTGGCAAGATGGTAGAGAAAGGAGAACCCTGGTACCCTGTTGGTAGGAATGTAAATTAGTACAACTATTATGGAGAAAAGTATGGAAAAACTTTAAAAAACTAAAAGGAGGCTGGGCATAGTGGCTTATGCCTGTAACTTCAGCACTTTGGGAAACCGAGGCAGGCACCTCACTTGAGGTCAGGAGTTTGAGAGCAGCCTGCCCAAAATTGGGATATCCCGTCTGTGCTAAAAAATACAAGAATTAGTCAGGCATGGTGGCGTGCACCTGTAATCACAGCTATTAGGGAGGCTGAGTCAGGAGAATCGTTTGAACCTAGGAAGCAGAGGTTGCAATGAGCCAAGATCGCACCACTTTGACTCCAGCTTGGACTAAGGAGGGAAACTCTTTCTCAAAAAAGAAAAAAAAAAAAGAGAACTTTCATAGTGTCCAGCAATTTCACTACTGGGTTTATATCCAAAGGAAAGGACATCAGTGTATCGAAGTGATATCTGCACTCATATGACTGTTCCAGCACTGTTCACAGTAGCCAAGATGTGGAGTCAACCTACCTGCCTATCAGTGGGTGAATGGATAGAGAACTGTAGTACACACACACGGTGGAGACTACTCATCCATAGAAACAATAACATCCTGTCATTTGCAGCCACATGGATGGAACTGGAGGTCATTACAAAGATTCCCATTTCTCACCACATGCAGGAGATAAAAGGTGGATCTCATGAAGGTAGAGAATAGAATGGTGGATACCAGAGGCCAGGAAGGGAAGGGTGGAGGGTAACAAAAAAAAGAATATAGATGTATTTATTTATTTAGAAACAGAGTCTCTCTCTGTCTCCCAGGCTGCAGTGCAGTGGCATGATCTCGGCTCAGTGCAACCTCTGCCTCCTGGCTTTAAGTGCTTCTCCTGCCTCAGCCTCCCAAGTAGCTAGGACTACAGGTGCATGCCGGCATGCTTGGCTAATTTTTCTTGTCTGTTTAGTAAAGATGAATTTCCCGCATGTTGGCCAGGCTGATCTCGAGTCCCTGATCTTAAATGATCCACCTTTCTTGGCCTCTCAAAGCGCCAAGATTACAACCGTGAACCACCACACCCAGCATATAAAGGTATTTATGACCACTAGATTTTACTTTTAAAAATGGTAAAGTTGGTAAATTATATAGTTACATTTAACCTCAATAAATATTTTTGAAAATGAAAAGAAAAGAGTGTAGGGGTTGCTGGTGATGACATCTCTCTGTGTGGGTGAGAGGCCAGGATGGGCTTCTGGGAAATGGGTAAGGTTGAGGGGCTGAGGGAACCTCTGATCTCCCCAAACTGAGCCCAGTCTCCCCTTCTCTGGGTCTGTCCTGACCGCTTTCTCCATCTGCCTGGGTGCCTGGAGCCCTGACCATGGGCCTCCATGCAGGCCATGCAAGAGGGTTTGGAGGTGCCCTGTCTGCCATCCTGCACCCTGACCCCCCCCTCACACCCAGTCTTCGTGTTCTCTCTGCATCTGTCCATGCTTCTCCCCATCATCGGCAGGAAGCTCCTCAGCTATGGCTCTAGGATCATAAGACATGGGACAGACACGGGTTTTCCTCACCTGTGACAGAAACAAGCAGTGGGTCACTTGAGTTTGACCACACGCAGGGCAGGTCACGGAAAGAGCCGAAGCATCTGTAGGTCCCTCCGTGGGTGGCAGGGCCCAGAGGAAAGTCTGCCTGGAATGTTCTGTTGACCTTGGGCACTGCACGGAGCCTACGTTCATGGGCCTCCCCTTCCCTGGACAGATGGTAGATGTCATAGGAGCTCCAGGAGCTACAGGACAAGGTCACGTTCTCTCCTGCCTGAACCGTGGGGCCCGGCTGGGCTGAGAGAGAAGGTTTCTCATATAGACCTGGAAGGAGAAGAGGCAGTTTCCTCAGGGAGGTTCTTCCTTGTCACAGCTCCCCTCATACCTGAGCTGAGAACTCACTCCCCTGCTCTATGACCTAATGCTCTCTCTCTCTCTCACCCTCCACCCCAACTCTCTTCATGTCTATTTCCTCCTTCCGCCTTCTCTGTCTCTCTAGGTCTCTGACCTCACTTCCCCACCCCTGGGTATGCTTTCCCTTTTTGGATTGTTTTATTCTCTCTGACTCTCCTTGGATTGGTTGACTTGATCTTCCTTTTTCTATAATTCTGAGTCTCTCACTTTCTGTCTTGTTCATAACTTTCTGCATATTTCTATCTATTATCTATCTATCTATTTTGTGTCTATCTACAAATTATCTGTCATCTATATCTATGTATCATTTATCTATCAATTGTCTATCTGTCTATCCATCAATCATCTATGTATTATCTGTATCTATGTATCATCTCTCTCTCTCTCTATTACCTCTCTGTCTGCCTGTCAGTCTCTATGTATCATCTATGTATCTATATATTTATATATGTGTCTTCTATCTATCTATCTTCATCATCATCATCATCATCATCTCTATGTATCATCTATCAATCATCATCTATGTATCTATAACCTATCCATTATCTATCATCTACCTATTTATCATCTATCTATATCTATCTATCCATCTATCATCTGTCTCTCTCCATCTCCTTGTCTTTCTCTGCCTCTCAGTCTCTCTAGTTCTATTTGGAATCTCTGCAATCCATCCCCACATCTTTATCTTTCTCTGTCTTTGTGCCCCTCCCTCAGGGTTCTGATTTTGGGGCTTTTCTCTCCTCCCTTCCAGCATTCTCTCCACTCCTCTGCCCTCTTTTCTTTCTTTTTGTGTGTCTGTGAGTCTCTCAATCCCCTTCCTCTGGCTCATTCTCTGTGTGTTTATGCCTTTGCTTTTTGAAGTCCCTGATTTATCTCTGTGTCTCTCAGTGATCCTATTATATGTAGGATTATTTGGAATATGAGCCTCAGAATCTAGTCTGGGGACACCAAGTACACACAGTATTTAGGGGTTGGTGTTCTGGGGCCATGATATCCTGGGATAATTATGGCTCCACTGCATGGAAGGCAGAGGTGTCAGAATAAACATGGCATCTGTAGATGCCACAAGGCCTGAGGCCACAGGGCCCAACTCAGGTCAGAAATATGGGTGTCCTTGGGTTCTCCTCGTAGAAGCACTTTGTGGAGACAAAACAGAAATGAAACTTCTAACCTGTGCCAGGTCTCTGAGCAAAGTCAGCATGGAAGGACACTTCTCTCTGGCACATGTCTGTCTGTCTGAGTGTCTCCTTTACCTCTTTCTCTCTTTTCTACTTCCCCGTATGGCCCCTGTGTCTGTCCTCTGTTATGACACCTGGTCTGTACTTATGTCTCCTGTTTCCCTGTCTCTGTTGGTACAGACCTCACCGAGTCAGTCTCTCTCCATAAGAATCCCACGCTTATCTTCCTCATGACCACCTGGGGGTTCCAAGTCCTGGATCATTCACTCTGTGTCCCAATGACAATGAGAAGAATGTCTGGACACTCTCACCTGTGATCACGATGTCCAGGGGGTCACTGGGAGCTGACAACTGATAGGGGGAGTGAGGAACAGAACCATAACATCTGTAGGTTCCTGCAAGGACAGGCATCAAGGGACCGATGGAGAAGTTGGCCTTGGAGACCCCATCATGGATCTGTCCAACGAGGCGTGAGGGGTCCTCAGAGATCCCCTCTCTGTGCAGAAAGAAGTGCTCAAACATGACATCTGACCAACATTGCAGGATGACTGTCTCTCCTGATTTCAGCAGGGGCCCTGGGTGGGCCAGGAGGGAAGGTTTTCTGTGGTTTCCTAGAAAGAGAAGTTGTGAGTTTAGAAGGCATCTCTCTTTATCATCCCATCCATGGCACCTGGAATGAGTGAGGGTTCCCCTCCCAGAGGTCTGTCTCTCTCCTCCCTCTCTGTGTCTCCGTGTCTTTTCTGTGCCCATATCCCCTGGTGCAGGTCCCTCCATTTGTCTTCCTCCCTCTTCTCTGTCCCTCTGTCTCCAGTAGCCCCTGACTCCCTTCCCACTGTGAAGAGAGCCTCATCTCTTGGGCTGTTGTATCTCTTTCCCACTAGTCTCTTTCCTGCTGTCTATGTGGGGGTGGAAGAGGACAGGCTGCATGTCCAGGCTCTCAGCAGCCTGAATCAATCTCTTTTGAACAAATTGGAGTCTCTGGCAGAGGTATCAACTCATCAGTAAGGCAGACATCAGTGTCCACACACCCTGTTCCTGATGGGGATTGGGAGCCTCTCCTGCCATGTCTGTGCCTTCTCCATGGCCCCAGCTTCCATAGGGTGGTCCCTGGTGCTGGTTCCAGGAGCATCAACCCCTTCCTATGTGGATGGAGCCTGGTGGTGGCATCAGCATCCCACCCTTGCTGATCCCACGGTAGCCAACCTTCTCCTTGTTTGGTTTCTTTAATTAATTGATTAATTAATTTATTTTTGAGACAGTCACTTTTTCACCCAGGCTGGAGTGCAGTGGTGTTGTCTTGGCTCACTGCAACCTCTGCCTCCCCGGTTCAAGTGATTCTCTTGCCTCAGCCTCCCCAGTCGTTGGATTACTCGTGCCCACCACCACACCTGGCTATCCTTGTTTGGTTTCCTAGCTTGTCCTTGACCTGGGTTCCTGTGTCGGTTTCCTGTTGCTGCTGCAGAAAATTATCACAAACATGGCAGCAGGAGAGAACACACTGACCCCTTCCACTTCTGGGGACAGAAATTGGATCCAGTTCTCCCTGTGCTGAAATCAAGGCATCTGCAGGGCTGCGTTCCCTCTGGAGACTCAGCGAATCAGTTCTCTTGACTTCTCCAGCCCTTAGAGGCCACCTGCATTCTGTGACTAGTGGCCTTCCTCCACCTTCAAAGCCCACAGTGGCTGATAGCGTCTCCCTCCCACTACACTGCTCTAATCCCCACTCCCCTCTTCCTCCACCTCTCACGCGGACCCTTGTGATTACACTGAGCCCAGCAGGACAGTCCAGGCTGTCTCCCCATCTCAAGGTCAACTCATCAACAACCTGAGCTCCACCTTCCCCTTCAGTCCCCTGCCCTATAACATAAATAGTCACAGGCTCCAGGGTTTACAATGTAGCCATCATTGGCGACAGTGATTCTTCCCACCACAGCGCCCATTTCCCCTGTATTCAATCCCCCTTGACCCCAAATACAGTTGGGGCCTGGGTGATGGGACCCTGATGGACACCCCCACCAGAAGCTCTGGGATTCAGGAGGTGGGACAGTGAGAAGCCCAGACAGAAAGCCTCTGACCTGTGACCATGATCACCAGGGGGTTGCTGGGTGTCGACCACCCAGTGAGGGAGTGTGGGCGTGAACCCCGACATCTGTAGGTCCCTGCATGTGCTGGGGTCACAGGGCCCATGATGAAGCTCTCCTGGAATATTCTGCCGTGGAAGATGGGAACGTGGCTTCTGTCTTCTTTGTACAGCATGAAATTGTTAAACCCACGACGATAGTGACACTGAAGAGCCACGTGTCCTCCTCGAGGCACCACAGTGCTGGGCCGGGCAGACAGGAAGGGTTTGTCCTGACCACCTGGGGGAGAAGGAGGCACTGCCTTAGAGAGGAGGATGTGGAGCCACCCCTCCCTCCCTGTGCTCAGAAGATTCTCCCATTTCCACTTTCTAAGGCTCCTACCACACCTGGGTGCCCAGGGCTACAGGAAGGACCCACCCCACATAGACATGGCGTCTCCCTACAACAAGTGTCAGCTGAGAACTTTGAGCAAGTGCTGAATAAGTGACTCTTACTAGATTTTAATACTGCAAAATTACTCACATAAAACAACACAAAGTAGACACGGCATGGAGGGCATGTCCTATGTGAATGGAATATCAGCCAATTCATGAACTGAGCCCCCTCAGAGGATTTGGAATGTCAGGGCCATGGCTGTGGTTTCCCCCCTCTTCTGGTAGAAAGACCGCAGCCACACTGCAGTCCCTACCGTCACGGAAACGCTGGAGGGTGTCAGTTATACCTTTGTCCTCAGAGGACCTGCTGTTCCTAGCACTGCTTCCCTCTCTTTCTCTGCTGCTGACACCACTTCCTCCCTGCACACCCCAGCTTGGAGCACCCCAGTCTCACCCCAGTCTTCACAGAGCTTGACTCAGGAAAGGGAAAGAAAGGCCGGGGAGGGCGAGGTCAGAAATGTGGGCCGAGTATCCAAGGGTCCCCTCTTCCTAGTTTATGAGAGACTCCCCGACAGGACTTCCCTCCTGTTTCAGAAAAATCCTCTTATGTGGGGAGATGACACCCTAAGGTTTGGGGAAGGACTCACCCATGAGTGGCCAGGCCCCCTGCAGCAAGAAGAACCCTGGAAAGAAAGATCATGATAGACGATCCAACTGCAGGCAAACCAGGGCACCCTGCTGCCCCCACTGCACTGTGTGTCTTGGCAGCCAGGCCCTTGCTGGGCTGAAGGTAAACTTAGCCTCCCTGCTACCTGCTGCCAAGAACAGGGCTCTCAGCTGTGGAGAGACCCAGGCTCCAGGCCCAGATCAACACTTCCTGGCCCAGATCTCCACTCCAGGCCCATATCTCCACTCCAGGCCCCTATCTCCACTCCAGGCCCATATCTCCACATCAGACCCATATCTCCACTCCAGGCCCATATCTCCACATCAGACCCATATCTCCACTCCAGGCCCAGATCTCCCCTCTAGGCCCATATCTCCACTCCAGGCCCATATCTCCACTCCAGGCCCATATCTCCACATCAGACCCATATCTCCACTCCAGGCCCATATCTCCACTCCAGGCCCAGATCTCCACCTGCAGGCCCATATCTCCACTCCAGGCCCATATCTCCACTCCAGGCCCGTATCTCCACTCCAGGCCCATATCTCCACACCCAGGCCCATATCTCCCCTCCAGGCCCATATCTCCACTCCAGGCCCATATTTACACCTCCAGGCCCATATCTCCACACCCAGGCCCATATCTCCACTCCAGGCCCATATCTCCACTCCAGGCCCATATCTTTACCTCTAGGCCGAGATCTCCATCCCCACTCTCCCTCCCTCTATTCCCTTCCAGGACTCACCAACGCACGCCATGCTGACGACAGTGAGCGACATGGTGCTGCCGGTGCAGACAGGAGGCCGCGCCCCAGCTCAGCTCAGCAGCGCACAGGATGTTATTTGGCGCCCTGCCCATGCAGTTTACATGTTGACCACATCATGGGAGGGTGACGTACGCAGGCTCTTTCTACCTTGCATGAGGCCCAGTGGGTGCTCGCTCAAGAGCGGAACATGGCTTCCTGGAAATTGTTGTGACTACAATTGCCACCTTGCATCCTTCACTATGACCAGACTCAAAAGACGTCTCAGATCCAACCTCTCACACATGAGGTGATTGAATTCTGTGCTTACATTAAAGACTTTTGATGTATTTTTGTTTTTATCTGAGATTCAAACTTTTCTTCATGTGTAATGTGCAAAATATCTAAGAGGTATTATTAACATTATCAGAGTAATTGTGACAAAAAGCCATTCTAATTTTCCTGATGAGTTTCTAGTACTAAACCTGAGGCACGAGAATTGCTTGAACCTGGGAGGCGGAGGCTGCAGTGAGCTGAGCTCAAGCCACTGAACTCCAGCTTGGGTGACAGAGGAAGAGTCTGTCTCAAGAAAGAAAAAAAAAAGCAAACTAAATAACCTATAATAACAAATCAGAGAACTCAGGTTACCAAATTTTAAGGGGTTCTATAAGTTTATATGAAATGCAGCATCCTCATGAGAGGGGATACAGAGAACCACTGGGCAGAAAACTGTGTCTAAAATACATCTGTGGATACACAGTCCCTTCATAGTTGACAAAGGCTGCCATGTAGTTTAAGGTGGAATAGAATATTTTCTCAATAAATAACACAGGACCATAGGGTTACACGTAGGAAAAAATAAATCTAAACTTATCCTCACACTATAAAAACACTTCTTATTTTTTATCTTGTTGTTGTAAACTTTTTATGCTTTATTTTTAAGATTGACAAATAAAAATTATATACTGTGGTCCTTCACTATTCCTGGGTGATTGGTTCCAGGATCCCCATTCAGATACCAAAATCTGCAGATGCTCAAGCCCCTTGCATGAAATGGCATAGCGAAGCTGGGCACCGTGGCTCACGCCTGTAATCCCAGCACTTTGGGAGGCTGAGTTGGGTAGATCACGAGGTCAGGAGTTCAAGACCAGCTGGTCCAACATTCTGAAACCCCATCTCTACTAAAAATACACACACAAAAAAATTTATCTGTGCATGGTGGCACGTGCCTGTAATCCTAGGGGAGGCTACTGGGGAGGCTGAGGGAAGACAATCGCTTGAACCTGGGAGGCGGAGGTTGCAGTGAGCTGAGATCATGCCACTGCACTCCAGCCTGGGTGAGAGAGTGAGACTGTCTCAAAAAAAAAAAATAGCATAGTAATTGCATAGAACCCATGCACATCCTCCTGTATACATGAAATCATCTCTTGATTACTTATAATTCCTGACACAGCCTACACGCCACTCAATTTGTGTCGATTCAACATAGTTTTTTGCTTCTTGAAACTTCGGGGATTTTTTTCTGAAAACATTTTTGATTTATTGTTGGTTCAATAAACACCTGTAAACCCCACAGATATGGAGGACCGACTGTATATTTATATTATGAAAGATGATATGTTGATATGTGTCCCCGTGGAGATGAGGCTAACAAGGCCTATGACTCTACAAATGTTTCATCGTGGAATGACTCTGCCAGCTTTCCAGGTCTGCAGAGAGTAAGAATATCACTTGTTCATGTGATTCACGATCCTTGGAGCCTCCTATGTGCTGTATCTTTGGATGGAAATTGGAGTCTCAGAGACAAATCAGGCTCCATTCTGCTTCCAGAAGCTCAGAGTCCAGGGCTGAGAACCCAATGGAGAACAGATGGGGTTATGTGGACATGGTAATGATAACACCGGAAGCCTTAGGCAAGAAAAGAGTCTCGTTACCGAAACCATGAGGGCAGACATGTTTATTTGAAGGCGGGAAAACTACATTGAAATTATTTAAAAAATTTATAAGTTTTACTGCTGGCAGAAGGCTGAAAGATAGTCTGAAGGGAGGTGGAACAGCACGTGTCTAAGTGCTGTGTTAAGAGGCAGCCTCTTGTATGTTTGGAATTGTGAGTTCCTCAGTGTGATTGCAGCCTCAGGTAGACTAGGAAGTAAGCCAGTTAGGTTGGAGAGGTGGGCAGGGGTCAAGTGAAATGGAGAATTGTGGGCTAAGCAAAGGAGTGTGTTTTCTCTCCAGCAGGCAGTGGGGACCTTAGACATTTGTAAGCAAGAGAGAGGCATGTTCAGATTCGTGGTGTGAGGAAGAGCGATGCCCTAAGATGAAGACTGATGCCTTCAGATTCCAGCTGCTGGTACATGGGAGCTGGCAACCCGGTTTTGAGACAGGGCTGTTGTCTCCCTAGAAGATCCCCTCAAGGCCTGACTGTGGTGCTCGTGGACAGAAGACAACTTTGGATCTGGGCTCAGCATTTGGAAGTTCTATGTACATGCTGGTATCTGTTGGGGGTGTCTTGGGCCTCTCAGAAGGGCGAGTGATTTTTCTCTGTGTGAAAACACAGTGATCCAATTATGCGTATGACACCTCCTGATGGTCTTGTTCATCAGAATCCTGGAGAGAGGGAAATGCTGAGTGAGGGAGGGTGCTCACATTTTTCAGGACTCTTTGGGAATAAGACTAGCCACGAGGCTGGGCCGAGGAGCACCTACCTCGCTGTTCACTGTTCTGTTCCCTGCAGGCTCTTGGTCCATTACAGCAGCATCTGTAGAAGACGGAAGTCAACAAAAGAGCTCGGAGGGCACTTCTGGGTCCTCATTTCATAAGCAGATACCAACAAACAGGGGGAGGCCATAGGTGCCTGAGGTCCCTCAGTTGCCAACAGCAGACTCAGACATTCTATCTCTCTGAGTTCAAGGACCCATCCCATGAATAGCTCTGAGGTCCCATCCCATTGATTCTATCTCCCACTTTCTGCCTGTCATGGAACCTTCTCCTGGATGTGAGTGGCTGCAGGGGACGTGAGGATACAGTTCAGAATCAGGCAATGGTCTGTGAGCTGAAGGCAGGGGAAGGGAATCTGGTGCTCTCTCTAGAAAGTCCTGCCTCTGTGGCTCCTGTCTTGGGCCAGGGACCATCCTGCTGGTGAGGAACACACATCCGCGTGCTCCCATCCTGCTTCCCCACATGGCCCTGAGCTCTCTGGCCTCTGCTTCGTGAGACTTACTTTTTTTGTCGGAGCACCAGCGATGAAGGAGAAAGAAGAGGAGGATGGTGAAAGGGATTTTGACCACTGAGGTCCCAATCAGAACATGTAGGTGTCTGGGGTTACCTGGAAGAAGAGGAGACACCAATAAGAAGCTAATCATAGCAGTTCCTCTTTATGAATTGTCTCGCATTTCTTGATTGGCAGGTAACCACATACAACGTCTCTTTAGGACAAGCACCCAAATGGCGGGAGACCTAGCTTTCCCCTGCTTTCTCAATTATAGCTCTCATAGTAACCATAGAACGTGCTGAGGATACAACTACTTTAGTTGAGATGTTTGACCCTTTCAAACCTCACATTGAAATTTCACCCCCATTGTGGGAGGTTGGGCCTCTTCAGAGGTGTTTGGGTCATGGAGGTGGATCCATCATGAACAGACCAATGCTGTCCCAAGGAGACGGGGTTAGCAAGTTCCCCCTCTGTTAGTTCCTGGAGAGCTGGTTGTTAAAAAGAGCTTGGAAGCTCCATCGCTCCCTCTCCCCCTTACTCTCTCTCTTGCCGTGTGATCTCTGCGGTCTCTGCACAGACAGACCCTCCTTCCCTTCTGCCAGAGTGGGAGCAGCCTGAGGCCATCACGAGAAATAGATTCTGGTGCCATGCTTCCAGTACAGCCTGCAGAACTGTGAGGCAAACCAATCTCTTTTCTTTAGAAGTTACCCAGGCTCAAGTGTTCCTTTAGAGCAACAAAAATGGACTAAGATAGCAACATCCTGAGATCAGGAGGAATGTCTCAGAACAGCCTGGGCTGTCTTCCTGTTCTTCCTGGAGGAGGACGTCATGCAGTGCTTTAGCTGAGTGCTTCCTGTGGCTCCAGGGTACAAAACCCAGGCTGGGCTGCTTTCTGGCTTCCCCCAGTTACACTGCAAATGGGGTGACTCCATATGTCCCGAGCAGCTTTTCTGAGCCTTGAGGGACTGGCTCACATTGAAATGCAGGCTTCTGTTGTCACTCACTGCTTATCTGTTAGTAATGAACCTGCCTATGTAACGTATTCTCTGTGTGTTCTGTCTCCCTGGAGTGACGGTGAGTGATAGGAATTGGCATAGGCCCAGGTGCAGTCCAGGATTTGTTTAGAGTCTTCTCTGGGAAGACTGCACTGGGATTGATACACAGCGAATGTGCTTTAGGATTTCTACATCCACAGCATTCTTGAGTCAAACAAATTGCATTCACCAAGGAAAGGAAACAAAGGTGAAATCACGATTAAAAATAGCGAAGCAAGATTCTCTTATGTCAAACAGCCAGAAAATAGTGTTGAAGCCCGTGTGAAATGTGCTGCTCTTTGTGATCTCGGGAGACACATGTTAGGCTGCTGTTCTACCCGAGAGGCTGGGGGAAGGACCACCCCCTCCACCATCTATTGCTTCAATACCACCTGTCCTCCTGTGAATTAGTAGGAAAGGGGAACAGGAGCTAGTGCTGTCGCTGATCTCTGATTCCAAGATCTGGACTCACTCCAAGGAGTATTAATGTTTCCTCCCCATGGTCTATCTGAATCTCCACAGGTGATTGGAAGTAGGGGTGAGGTGGGGGATTTGGGTGAGTGGGCAAGTTTTTTTTTGCGATGAACAGAGCACTTTCTCTATTCCAGGATCCGTGCTGGAGGATTCAGCGGGCTTTCACATTTTCTATGTGATCTCATGCTCACAGAAAGCCAAATAGGGAAGAGGTTTTAGGCTCATTGCCTAATGGATAAGATAAAGGATCAAAGAAGTAATTATAGAGAAATAGAAAAATGATGATTGGAATTCAGGTGCCTTTGTCATTCGTGTGTGTTTTATTATATTTATGCATTTCTTATTTTTATTTTTTGAGACGGAGTCTCCTTGTGTCACCCAGGCTGGAGTGCAGTGATGCAATCTCCACTCACTGCAACCTCCACCTCCTGGGTTGAAGTCATTCTCCTGCTTCATCCTCCAGAGTAGGAGCTGGGATTACAGGGATGCACCACCATGCTCGGCTAATTTTTGTATTTTTAGTACAGATAGGGTTTCACCATGTTGGCCAGGCTGGTCTGGAACTCCTGACTTCATGGAATCCACCCGCCTTGGCCTCCTGCAGTGCTGGGTTACAAGCGTGAGCCACCGTTCACAGACTTGTATATTACGCTATAATAGGTCTCTTCATTTCCACCACCCCTCATATATCTGTCACTCCTTTGCCAGGTATTGATTTATGTGTAGGATGAATAAATCTCAGAAAGAAATTAATTAAGCGAGGATTAAACAAGTAGGAAAATCAAACCCAGCAAGCCTTTCCAGCCAATGATTCTACCTCACAAGCATAGCTTATATCCATCTGCTTCATCCACTTAGTGTCAAAATCAGCACCACATTTCACCAGTGGGTCGGGAATTGCCTTTTCCACGGTCTCCTAGATTCCAGTTACGCCCCTGGGCCTCCTTTATTTTCATGTCAGTCATATTAATCATGTAGGGATTCCTGGTTACCCCGAGGTGAATCCAATGGCTGTGAGTGTCAAACACACACTCCTTGTTGCTCCTTAGTTTCCTGTGTACCCAGTGTGCTCTCCGTCTCTCCACAGTCGTCTTGTCATTCTCCCCACCTCATTCCCAGCATTTGAGGAAGAGCCTCTTCCTTCCACATCAGATTGTTTTCACCTTTGTGCCTTCACGGCTGACAGCTGTGTGTGCAAAATCCTTCCGCCAATCTTTCAGGGGTTCAATCCGTGTTTTTCATTAATGTCACAAATATCTGAATAGTGAGACCTTCTTTGTCACCTGAAATCATACACTCAGCATTATCTATTATTGATTTTGAATTCTGGCTGGGCACAGTGGCTCACGCCTGTAGTCCCATTACTTTGGCATGCTGAGACGGTCGGATCACTTGAGGTTGGGAGTTTCAGACAAGCTTGGCCAACGTGGTGAAACATCCTCTCTACAAAAAATATACAAAAAGAATTAGCCGGGCACGGTGGCAGTTGCCTGTAATCCCAGCTACTCGAGAGGCGGAGGCAGGAGAATCACTTGAATCCAGGAGAAGCAGGTTGCAGTGAGCCAAGATCGTGACACTGCACTGTAGCCTGGAAGACAGAGGGCAACTCTGTCTCAATAAACAAAAGAACAAACAAAAAATAGATTTCATGCACAGATGCTTCCCAATGGATCATTCATTTATAGATCCACTTGTGCATTCATTTTCTGCCCTCCCATTTAACCATCTGCAATATCAGTGTCCCAAGGGCAGAGGCCAAATGCATCTTGTTCACTGTTTGTGGAAGGCAGGAGAATGCTGTCCCACCCCAAAATGTCCCTGTCCTAGCCTCCATAGCTTGTGAATATGTTATTTTACATGGAAAGGAGGAATGAAGATTGCAGATGGAATTATGGTTACTAATCAGCTGAACTTAAAACAAGGGTATCCTGGATGATTTCCAGGAGATTATGAGGGATTTTCATCTTGGTGAACCCAATAGAATCCCCAAGTTTTCAAAAGATGAGGAAGAAGGGAGAGCAGCATTCAGAGAAAGAAGTGTGGTAAGGAAGAAGGCACTGAGTGATGCCATGTGAGATGTGACCAGTCTTTGTGGGCTTTGAGGAAGGAGGAAGGGGACCAGGAGCCAAGGAACTGGGAGCCTTTAGAAGCTGGGACAAGTGAGAAGCAGATTCGTGCCTGGAATCCTCAGAGGGAAGGCAGCCTTGCTGTCACCTTGATTTTAGCCCAGTAAGATGCACTTCCTACTTTGAGCTACAGCACTGTAAGATAATTAAAAAACCGTTTTGTTTTCACCCACGAATCTTGTGGAAATTTGTTATGGCAACAATAGGAAAAGGTTCCGCACTGCACAGCCTGAGCATGGGGCCGTGGCTGAATGAGTCAGTGAGTCGAAGTGTGTGTGCATGAGCTCTGTTCTCTGTTACGGCAAGGCTCTTGCTCTGCTGAGTCAGCCAGGGTTGCTTCATGACCTACAGGAGCTCATTCCTTGGCAAGTGGAACTTCTCTAAAACACCTCGCCCTCATCAGATGTTCCCTTCCCTTCCCTCTCTCAAGTCTCCAGGAATTTATCCTCCAGTTAGGAATGCAGGCAGAACAAACATTGCATTTTTCCTGAGAAGGATGTCAGATTGGCAATCATTCTTCTAGCTTGTAGGAGGTCTCAGCTCCATAAAATGAGAGATGAAGAGATTTCACTGAGCCCTGTGTTGGGCCCAGATCCCTTTCGCTGTAGGAGTATCTGGAGTTCGGAGATGGTGGAAGACAGGTGTACAATGTCAGAGCTGTGAGATGCTGAGTCAACGCCTGAATCCAAGGTTTCCACCTCCCCAGGTTTCCAAAAGCGGATATAAGAGGGTTCTGTACTCACCGGTTTCGGAGCTTGGTTCAGTGGGTGAAGGCCAACTATTTGAAGGGTTTCCTAGAACATGAGACAGGAGAGAGGTGAGGAAATGAGGGTTTCTGTCCTCCACTCAGTGGAAATCTTTGAGGATGGTTCATGGCCAACACTCTGTTATCTAATATTGGGCCCTGGGAGTCCTGGGATCCTTTTTTCCATAATTTTTTTATGTGACACCCACTGTCTTGAGACTTCAAGGTATAAAGAGAAAACAGGAGCATCACACTACCTGATCTCAAAATATGTTACAGAGCTGTAGTAAGCAAAATAGCATGACACTGGCATAAAGAAAGGCACATAGAACAACGGAGCAGAATGAATAACACAGATATATTCCATGCATTTACATCCAATGGTTTTTTATTTTTTCTTTTGAGATGGAGTCTTGCTCTGTCACTCAGGCTGGAGTGCAAAGGTGCAATCTCGGTTCACTGCAACCTCAGCCTCCTGGGTTCAATCATTCTCTTGCCTCAAACTCCTGAGTAGTGGTATTACAGGTGCTGACCACCATGCTCAGCTAATTTTTATATTTTTAGTGGAGATGATGTTTCATCACGTCGGCCAGACTAATCTTGAACTCCTGGCCTCAGGTGATCCACCCACCTCGGGCTCCCAAAGTGCTGAAATTGCAGGTGTTAGCCACCAAGCCCAGCCCATCCAATGGACTTTGACAAAGATGCCAAGAACTCACAATCAGGAAAGGACAGTCTTTTCAATAAACAGTGCAGGGAAACCTGGACATCTACATGCAGAGGAATGAAACTGCACCTCTACCTGTCACCATACACAAAAATCAAATGAAAATGGATTAAAGATGTGAGTCTAAGGCCTGAACCTATGAAACACGTAGAACAAAATATTGGGGAAATGCTCCAGGACATTTGTCTGAAGAAAGACATTTTGTTTTAAACCTTGAAAACACAAGTAATCGAAGCAAAAATAGACCATTGGGATTACCTCATACTAAGCAACTTCTGCACCGCTAAAAATAAACCAACAAAGTGAAGAGACAACCCACAGATTGGGAGCAAATATGTGCAAACTATGCATCTGAGATGGGATTAATAACTAGAAATATAAGAAGCTCAAACAACTCAATAAAACAAATGATTTAATTGAAAAAGGAGCAAAAGACATGAAATTTCCCCACATACGAAAAACTGCTCAGTATCACTCATCATCAGAGAAACGCAAATTAAATTCAAAGTGAGTTTTCATCTCACCCCATTAAAATGGCTTTTAGGCCGGGTGAGGTGGCTCACGTTTGTCATCCTAGAACTTTGAGAGCCTGAGGTGGGTGAATCTCATAAGGTCGGGAGTTTGAGACCAGTATGACCCACATAGAGAAACACTGTCTCTACTAAAAATACAAAAATTAGTCGGGCGTGGTGGCGTGTGCCTGTAATTCCAGCTACTCGGGAGGCTGAGGCAGGAGAATCGCTTGAACCTGGGAGGTGGAGGTTGTGGTGAGCCGAGATCGCGCCACTGCACTCCAGCCTGGGTGAGAAGAGCAAAACTCCATCTCAAAATAAAATGAAATAAAATAAAATGGCTTTTAGCTGCAAGACAGGCAAAAGAAATGCTGGCAAGGTGGTAGAGAAAGGAGAACCCTGGTACCCTGTTGGGAGGAGTGTAAATTAGTACAGCCATTACGGAGAAAAGTATGGAAGTCCTTTAAAGAACTAAAAAGAGGTTGGGTGCGGTGGATCATGCCTGTAATCCCGGCACTTTGGGAGACTGAGGCGGGCACCTCAGTTGAGGTCATGAGTTTGAGAGCAGCCCAGCCAACATGGGGAAACCCCATCTATACTAAAAAAACCAAAAAGTAGCCAGGCATGGTGGTGTGCACCTGTAATCCCAGCTACTAGGGAGGCTGAGGCAGGAAAATCATTTGAACCCAGGAGGCGTAGGTTGCAATGAGCCAAGGTCGCACCACTTTGACTCCAGCTTGGGCTAAGGAGGGAAACTCTTTCTCAAAAAAGAAAAAAAGAAAAAAAGAGAACTTTCATAGTATCCAGCAATTTCACTACTGGGTTTATATCCAAAGGAAAGTAAATCAATATATCGAAGTGATATCTGCACTCGTATGATTGGTGCAGCACTGTTCACAGTAGCCAAGATGAGGAGTCAACCTACCTGCCCATCAGTGGGTAAATGGATAGAGAGAATGTAGTACATACGCATAGTGGAGACTACTCATCCATAGAAAGAATAACATCCTGTCATTTGCAGCCACATGGATGGAACTGGAGGTCATTACAAAGATTCCCATTTCTCACCCATATACAGGAGCTAAAAGGTGGATCTCATGAAGGTAGAGAGTAGAATGGTGGCTACTGGAGGACAGGAAGAAAAGGGTGGAGGGTAAAAAAAATGTATATATATATATATGTATATAAATGTATTTATGACCACTAGACTTTACACTTAAAAATGGTAAATGTGGCTGGGCGCGGTGGCCCATGCCTGTAATCCCAGCACTTTGGGAGGCAGATGCGGGTGGATCACTTGGTCAGGAGTTCGAGACCAGCTCGACCAACATGGTGAAACCACCTCCCTACTAAAAATACAAAAAGTAGCCTGGCGTGGTGGTGCGTGCCTGTAGCACCAGCTACTCAGGTGGCTGAGGCAGGAGAATCGCTTGAACCCAGGAGGTGGAGGTTGCAGTGAGCTGAGATTGTGCCACTGCACTCCAGCATAGGGGACACAGCTAGACTCCACCTCAAAAAAAAATGTTAAAAGTGGTAAGCTATATAGGTATATTTATCCTCAATAAATATTTCTTCAAAGAAAAGTAAAGGGTGTAGGGGTTGCTGGTGATGACATCTCTGTGTGGGTGAGAGGCCAGGATGGGCTTCTGGGAAATGGGTAAGGTTGAGGGGCTGAGGGAACCTCTGATCTCCCCAAACTGAGCCCAGTCTCCCTCCTCTGGGTCTCTCCTGACCGCTTTCTCCATCTGCCTGGGTGCCTGGAGCCCTGGCCGTGGGCCTCCATGCAGGCCATGTAGGAGGGTTTGGAGGTGCCCTGTCGGCCATCCTGTGCCCTGATCCCTCCCTCACACCGAGGCTGCGTCTTCTCTCTGCATCTGTCCATGCTTCTCTCCATCATCAGCAGGAAGCTCCTCAGCTAAGGCTCTAGGATCATAGGACATGGGACAGCCATGGGCTTTCCTCACCTGTGACAGAAACAAGCAGTGGGTCACTTGACTTTGACCACTCGTATGGAGAGTCACGGAAAGAGCCGAAGCATCTGTAGGTCCCTCCATGGGTGGCAGGGCCCAGAGGAAAGTTGGCCTGGAATGTTCCGTTGACCTTGGTCCCTGCAGGGAGCCTACGTTCATGGGCCTCCCCTTCCCTGGATAGATGGTACATGTCATAGGAGCTCCGGGAGCTGCAGGACAAGGTCACATTCTCTCCTGCCAGAACCGTGGGGCCCGGCTGGGCTGAGAGAGAAGGTTTCTCATATAGACCTGGAAGGAGAAGAGGCAGTTTCCTCAGGGAGGATCTTCCTTGTCACAGCTCCCTTCACCTGAGCTGAGAACTCACTCCCCTGCTCTATGACCTAATGCTCTCTCTCTCTCTCTCTCACCCTCTACCCCATCGCTCTTCATGTCTATTTCCTCCTTCCACCTTCTCTGTCTCTTTAGGTCTCTGACCTCACTTCCCCACCTCTAGATATGTTTTCTCTTTTTGGATTGTTTTATTCTCTCTGACTCTCCTTGGATTGGTTGACTTGATGTTACTTTTTTTAATTCTGAGTTTCTCACTTTGTGTCCTGTTCATAACTTTCTGCATATTTCTATCTATTATCTATCGATCTATCTATTTATCTATTCGGTGCCTATCTACAAATTCTCTACCTGTCATCTATATCTATATATCATCTATTTATCCATCAATTGTCTATCTATCCATCAATCATCTATTATCTATATCTATGTATCATCTCTCTCTCTCTATGATTTCTCTATGTCTGCCTCTGTATCTCTATGTATTATCTATCTATCTGTCTTCATCATCATCATCTCTATGTCTCATCTATTAATGAATCAATCAATCATCATCTATGTATCTATAACCTATTATCTATCATCTACCTATTTATCATCTATCTATATCTATCCATCTATCATCTGTCTTGCTCTGCCTCTCGGTCTCTCTAGTTCTCTTTGGAATCTCTGCAATTCATCCCCACATCTCCATCTTTCAATGTCCTTGTGCCTCTCCCTCAGGAGTCTAATTTTAGTGCTTTTCTCTGCTCCCTTCCATCATTCTCACTTCTCTGCCCTCTTTTCTCTTTATGTGTCTGTGAGTCTCTCAATCTCCTTCCTCTGGCTCATTCTCTGTGTGTTTATGTCTTTGCTTTTTGGTGTCCCTGATTTCTCTCTGTGCCTCTCACTGATCCTCTCATAAGTGGGCTTATTTGGAATATGAGCCTCAGAATCCAGTCTGGAGACTACAAGTTCACACAGCATACAGGGGTTGGTGTTGTGGGGCCATGATATCCTGGGACGATTACTCTCCATTACATGGAAGGCAGAGGTGTCAGAATAAACATGGCATCTGTAGGTGCCACAAGGCCTGAGGCCACAGGGCCCAACTCAGGTCAGAAATATGGGTGTCCTTGGGTTCTCCTGGTAGAGAACACTTTGTGGAGGTAAAACAGAAATGAAACTTCTAACCTGTGCCAGGTCTCTGAGCAAAGTCAGCATGGAGGGACACCTCTCTCTGGGACATGTCTGTCTGTGTGTTTCCTTTAACTCTTTCTGTCTTTTCAAACTCCCGGTATGGCCCCTGTGTCTGTTCTCTGTTATGACACCTGGTCTCTACTTGTGTCTCCTGTTTCTCTGTCTCTGTTGGCACAGACCTCACCAAGTCAGTCTCTCTCCATAAGAATACCAAGCTCATCTTCCTTACAGCCACCTGGGCCTCCAAGTCCTGGATCATTCACTCTGCATCCCAATGACAATGAGAAGAAAGTCTGGACACTCTCACCTATGATCACGATGTCCAGAGGGTCACTGGGAGCTGACAACTGATAGGGGGAGTGAGTAACAGAACCGTAGCATCTGTAGGTCCCTGCCAGGTCTTGCTTCATGCGACTGATGGAGAAGTTGGCCTTGGAGACCCCATCATGGTGTTCTCCAATGAGGCGCAAAGTGTCGTTAAACATCCCCTCTCTGTGCAGAAGGAAGTGTTCAAACATGACATCTGACCAACATTGCAGGATGACTGTCTCTTCTGATTTCACCAGGCGACCTGGGTGGGCCAGGAGGGAAGGTTTTCTGTGGACTCCTAGGAAGAGAGGTTGTGAGTTTAGAAGGTGTCTCTCTTTATCATCCCATCCATGGCACCTGGATTGAGTCAGGCTTCCCCTTCCTGGTGTCTTATCTCTCTCCTTCCTCTCTGTGTCTTCATGTTCTTTTCTGTGCCCATAACTCCTGGTGCAGGTCCTTCCATCTGTCTCCCTCACTCTTCTCTGTCCCTCTGTCTCTAGTAGCCTCTGATTCCCTTGCCGCTGGGCTCAGCCTCATCTCTTGGGCTGTTGTATCTATTTCGAACTAATGTCTTTCCTGCTGTCTGTGTGGGGGTGGAAGAGGAACCAGGATAGGCTGCACATCCAGGCTCTTAGCAGCCTGGTTCAATCTCTTTTGGACGAATTGGAATCCTTGGCAGGAGGTATGAACTGATCAGTAAGGCAGGCACCAGTGGCCACACACCCTGTTCCTGGTAGGGACTGGGAGACACTCTTGCCATGCCAGTGCCAGCTTCCATAGCCTGGCTCCTGGTGCTGGTTGGAGGAGTATCAACCGCTCCCTATGTGGATGGAGCCTGGTGGTGGCATCATCATCCGAGCCTTGCTGATCTCAGTGTAGCCAACCTTCTCCTTGTTTGGTTTCTTTAATTAATTAATTAATTTTGGCGACAGAGTCTCACTCCTTTGCCCAGGCTGGAGTGAAGTGGTGTGGTCTAGGCTTACTGCAACCTCTGTCTCCTGGGTTCAAGTGATTCTCCTGCCCTCAGCCTCCCAAGTCGCTAGGATTACATGCACCTGCCACCATGCCTGGCTATCCTTGTGTTGTTTCTTAACTTGTCCTTGACCTGGGTTCCAGTGTTGGTTTCCTGTTGCTGCTGTAGAAAATTATCAGAAGCATGGCAGCAGGAGAGAGCACACTAACCCCTTCCAATTCTGGAGACAGAAATCGGACCCTGTTTGTCGTGGGTAAAATCAAGGTACCTGCAGGGCTTCGTTCCCTCTGGAGACTCAGGAGAATCAGTTCCTTGACTTTTCCAGCCTCTATAGGCCACCTGCATTCATGGCTCCTGGACTTCCTCCACCTTCAAAGCTGATGGAGACTCCCATTATGCTGCTGTAATCCCCACTCCCCTCTTCCTCCTCCTTTCCTGTGGACCCCTGTGACTACACTGAGCCCATCAGGACAGTCCAGGTTGTCTCCCCATCTCAAGGTCAACTCATCAACAACCTGAGCTCCATCTTCTCCTTCAGTCCCTTCCCCTATATCATAAATAGTCACAGACTCCAGGGATTAGAATGTAGTCATCACTGGGGACAATTATTCTTCCCACCACAGCACCCATTTCCCTGTATTCAATCCCCCTTTACCCCAAATACAGTCAGGACTTGCATGATGGGACCCGCAAGGACACGCCCACCAGGAGCTCTGGGATTCAGGAGGTGGGACAAGGAGAATCCCAGACAGGAGCCCTCTGACCTGTGACCGTGATCTCCAGGGGGTTGCTGGGTGCCGACCACCCACTGGGGTAGTGTGGTTGTGAACCCCGACATGTATAGGTCCCTGCGTGTGCTGGGGTCACAGGGCCCATGAAAAGGCTGTTCCAGAATATTATGTTGTAGAGCTCAGGGACAGGCACCCCATCTTCCTTTTACAGACTGAAGTTGTTAAACCCAAGATAAGAATGACACTGAAGAATCACATATCCTGGAGGCACCACAGGGCTTGGCCAGGCAGACAGCAAGGGCTTGTCCTGACCACCGTGGGGAGAAGGAGGCACCGCCTTAGAGAGGAGGATGTGGAGCCGCCCCTCCCTCCCTGTGCTCTGAAGATTCTCCTCGCTTTCCAAGTTTCTATGGCTGCTATCACACCTTGGTGCCCAGGGCTAAAGGAAGAACCCATCCCGCAAACACAAGGTGTCTCCCTACAACAAAAGTGTCAGCTGAGAACTTTGAGCAAGTGCTGAGTAAGAGACTCCTACTAGATTTTAATACTGTAAGATTACTCACATAAAACAACACAGGGTAGACATGGGGTGGAGGGCATGTCCTTTGAGAATGGAATATCAGCCGATGCCTGAACGAAAATAAACAACTGAGTCCCCATCAGAGGATTGGAATGTCAGGGCCATGGCTGTGGTTTTCCCACCTCTTCTGGTAGAATGACAGCAGCCACACTGCAGCCCCTACCGTCATGGAAACGCTGAAGTGTGTGAGTAACACCTTTGTCCTCAGAGGATCTGCTGTTCCTACCACTTCCCCACCACACACCCCAGCTTTGAGCACCGTAGTCTAACCCTGGTCCCCACAGAACTTGACTCTGCCAAGGGAATGAAAGGCCAGGGAGGCAAGGTCAGAAATGTGGGCCCAGCACCCCAGGGTCCCTTCTTCCTAGTTTATGAGAGACTCCCTGACAGGACTTCCCTCCCATTTCAGGAAAATCCTCTTATGTGGGGAGATGACACCCGAAGGTTTGGAGAAGGACTCACCCTCATGTGGCCAGGCCCCCTGCAGCAAGAAGAACCCTGGAAAGAAAGATCATGATGGATGACCCATCTGCAGGCAAACCAGGGCACCCTTGCTGCCCCCACTGGGCTGTGAGTCTTGGTAGCCAGGCCCTTCCTGGGCTGAAGGTAAACTCACCCTCAGTGCCTACCTGCACCCAAGAACAGGGCTGTCGGCTGTGCAGAGACCCAGCCTCCAGGTCCATATCCCCACCTCAAGCCCATATCTCCACTCCAGGCCCATATCTCCACTCCAGGCCGATATTTCCACCCTAAGCCCATATCGCCAATCCAGGCCCATATCTCCAATCCAGGCTCAGATCTCCACCCTGGGCCCATATCTCCAATCCAGGCCCTTATCTCCACTCCAGGTCCATATCTCCTCTCCAGTCCCATATCTCCACTCCAGGCCCATATATCCTCTCCAGTCCCATATCTCCACACCCAGGCCCGTATCTCCATCCTAGGCACATATCTCCTCTCCAGGCCCAGATATCGACCTCTAGGCCCATATCTCCACTCCTGGCCCATATCTCCACTCCAGGCCCAGATATCGACCTCTAGGCCCATATCTCCACTCCTGGCCCATATCTCCACTCCAGGCCCATGTCTCCACTTCAGGCCCATATCTCTACTGCAGGCCCGTAACTCCACCTCCAGGCCCATGACTCCACTCCAGGCCCATATCTCCACCTCCAGGCCCATATCTCCCCTCCAGGTTCCTATCTCCCCTCCAGGTTCCTATCTCCACTCCAGGCCCAGATCTCCACTACAGTCCCATCACTCCACCTCCAGGCCTATATCTCGACCTCTGGGCCCAGATCTCCACTTCTAGGCCCATCACTCCATCTCTAGGCCCATATATCCACTCCAGGCCCAGATCTCCACTCCAGGCCCACAACTCCACCTCCAGGCCTATATATCCACCTCTGGGCCCAGATCTCCAACCCCACACTCCCTTCCTCTATTCCCTTCCAGGACTCACCAACACACGCCATGCTGACGACCGTGAGCGACATGGTGCTGCCGGTGCAGACAGGCGGCCGCGCCCCAGCTCAGCTCAGCAGCGCACAGGATGTTATTTGGCGCCCTGCCCATGCAGTTTACATGTTGACCACATCATGGGAGGGTGACGTACGCAGGCTCTTTCTACCTTGCATGAGGCCCAGTGGTTGCTCGCTCAAGAGCGGAACACGGCTTCCTGGAAATTGTTCTCACTAGAATTTACACCTAGCGTCCTTCACTATGACCAACTCAAAACACGTCTCAGATCCAACCTCCTGAACACGAGATGCCTAAAATCTGTGCTAACGTGAAAGACTTTTCATGTATTTTTATTGTTTTTATCTGAGATTCAAACTCTTCTTCCTGTGTAATATGCAAAATATCTAATAGGTATTATTAAGGTTTTCAGAGTCATTGTGACTAATAAACCATTAGAATTTTTCATGCTTGTATTTCTAGTATTACAGCAGAACCAGTTAAAATGATTTAAATTCCCAGGGAAGGATTATGCAATTATTTACAATCTTTGAATTGTACGTTATCAGCAAAAACCACACATTTAAACTCTGGATTTTTGTAGATTTATCTAAAATTTGTCTCATGACCCAAGTTTCCAGAGTCCCAACTCTGGAGTTTGCTCTCTCTCTGTCTCTCTCCCTCCCTCATTTTAAATTTTACAGAAATATCCAGTAACATAATGCTATAGAAAATCAAGTTTCCCCCAGCACGTCGGGAAGCCGAGGTGGGCGGATCAACTGATATAAGGAGTTTGAGAGCAGCCTGGCAACACAGTGAAACCGTGTCTCTGCTAAAAATCCAAAAATTAGCCGTGCCCAGTGGCAGGAACTTGTAACACCAGCTACCCAAGAGGCTGAGGCACGAGAATCGCTTGAACCTGGGAGGCGGAGGTTGCAGTGAGCTGAGATTGCACCACTGCAGTCCAGCCTGGGCGACAGAGCAAGACTCCGCCTCAAGAAAATAAAAATAGCAAATAGCCTATAATAACAAATTAGAGGCCTCTGGCTACTAAATTTAAAGGGTTCTATGGGGCTACATAAAGTGGAGCATCCTCAAGAATGTGGACACAGAGAGCCGTTTAGCAGAGACAGTGTCTAAAATACACATCCGTGTACACACAGTCCCTTTTTAGTTGACAAAGGCTGCCGTGTGGTTTAAGGTGGCATAGAATGTCTTCTCAATAAATAATATTAAACCAAAGGGTTACACATAGGAAATAATAAATCTAAACTTATTCTCACACTATAAAAACACTTCTTAGTTTTTATCTAGTTATTGTACATTTTTTATGATTTATATTTAAATTTGAGAAATAAAAGTCCTATACCGTCATCCTTCACTATTCATGGGTGATTGGTTTCAGGATCTCCACTCAGATACTAAAATCTGCAGATGCTCAAGCCTCTTACATAAAATGACACAGCATTTGGATATAACCCATGCACATCCTCCTGTATACATGAAATCATCTCTTGATTACTTATAATTCCTGATACAGCCTATACACCACCTCATTTGTGTGCATTCAACACAGTTTTGCTTTTTGGAACTTTGTGGGCTTTTTCTCTGAATATTTTTGATTTATACTTGGTTCAATAAACACCTGTAAACCCCACAGATACGGAGGAGCGACTGTATATTTATAGTATGAAAGATGATGCGTTGACATGTGTCCCCGTGGAGATGAGACTAACAAGGCCTATGACTCTACAAATGTTTCATCATGGAATGACTCTGCCAGCTTTCCAGGTCTGCAGAGAGTAAGAATATCACTTGTTCATGTGATTCACGATCCTTGGAACTTCCTATGTGCTGCATCTTTGGATGGAAATTGGAGTCTCAGAGACAAGTCAGGGTCCACCCTGTTCCAGAAGCTCAGAGTCCAGGGGTGAGAACCCAGTGGAGAACAGATGGGGTTATGTGGACATGGTAATGATAACACCAGAAGCCTTAGGCAAGAAAAGAGTCCCATTACCGAAACCATGAGGGCAGACATGTTTATTTGAAGGAGGGAAAACTACATTGAAATTACTAAAAACAATTTATAAGTTTTACTGCTGACAGAAGGCTGAAAGATAGTCTGAGGGGAGGTGGAACTGCATGAGAGAAGGTGGAACAGCACGTGTCTAAGTGCTGTGTTAAGAGGGAGCCTCTTGTATGTTTGGAATTGTGAGTTCCTCAGTGTGATTGCAGCCTCAAGTAGACTAGGAAGTAAGCCAGTTAGGTTGGAGAGGTGGGCAGGGGTCAAGTGAAATGGAGAATTGTGGGCTAAGCAAAGGAGTGTGTTTTCTCTCCAGCAGGCAGTGGGGACCTTAGACATTTGTAAGCAAGAGAGAGGCATGTTCAGATTCGTGGTTTGAGGAAGAGCGATCCCCTAAGATGAAGACTGATGCCTTCAGATTCCAGCTGCTGGTACATGGGAGCTGGCAACCCGGTTTTGAGACAGGGCTGTTGTCTCCCTAGAAGATCCCCTCAAGGCCTGACTGTGGTGCTCGTGGACAGAAGACAGCTTTGGATCTGGACTCAGCATTTGGAAGTTCTATGTACATGCTGGTATCTGTTGGGGGTGTCTTGGGCCTCTGAGAAGGGGGAGTGATTTTTCTCTGTGTGAAAACACAGTGATCCAATTATGCGTATGACACCTCCTGATGGTCCTGTTCATCAGAATCCTGGAGAGAGGGAAATGCTGAGTGAGGGAGGGTGCTCACATTTTTCAGGACTCTTTGGGAATAAGACTAGCCACGAGGCTGGGCCGAGGAGCACCTACCTCCCTGTTCACTGTTCTGTTCCCCGCAGGCCCTTGGTCCATTACAGATGCATCTGTAGAAGATGGAAGTCAACAAAACAGCTCGGAGGGCACTTCTGGGTCCTCATTTCATAAGCAGATACCAACAAACAGGGGGAGGCCATAGGTGCCTGAGGTCCCTCAGTTGCCAACAGCAGACTCAGACATTCTATCTCTCTGAGCTCAAGGACCCATCCCATGAATAGCTCTGAGTTCCCATCCCATTGATTCTATCTCCCACTTTCTGCCTGTCATGGAACCTTCTCCTGGATGTGAGTGGCTGCAGGGGACGTGAGGGTACAGTTCAGAATCAGGCAATGGTCTGTGAGCTGAAGGCAGGGGAAGGGAATCTGGTGCTCTCTCTAGAAAGTCCTGCCTCTGTGGCTCCTGCCTTGGGCCAGGGACCATCCTGCCTGTGAGGAACACACACCCGCGTGCTACCATCCTGCTTCCCCACATGGCCCTGAGCTCTCTGGCCTCTGCTTCGTGAGACTTACTTTTTTTGTTGGAGCACCAGCGATGAAGGAGAAAGAAGAGGAGGATGGTGAAAGGGAGTTTGACCACTGAGGTCCCAATCAGAACGTGTAGGTGTCTGGGGTTACCTGGAAGAAGAGGAGACACCAATAAGAAGCTAATCATAGCAGTTCCTCTTTATGAATTGTCTCGCATTTCTTGATTGACAGGTAACCACATACAACGTCTCTTTAGGACAAGCACCCAAATGGTGGGAGACCTAGCTTTCCCCTGCTTTCTCAATTATAGCTCTCATAGTAACCATAGAACGTGCTGAGGATACAACTACTTTAGTTGAGATGTCTGACCCCTTCAAACCTCACATGGAAATTTCACCCCCACTGTGGGAGGTTGGGCCTCTTGGGAGGTGTTTGGGTCATGGAGGTGGATCCATCATGAACAGAACAATGCTGTCCCAAGGAGACGGGGTTAGCAAGTTCCCCCTCTATTAGTTCCCGGAGAGCTGGTTGTTCAAAAGAGCTTGGAAGCTCCATCGCTCCCCCTCCCCCTTACTCTCTCTCTTGCCGTGTGATCTCTGCGGTCTCTGCACAGACAGACCCTCCTTCCCTTCTGCCAGAGTGGGAGCAGCCTGAGGCCGTCACAAGAAATAGATTCTGGTGCCATGCTTCCAGTACAGCCTGCAGAACGGTGAGGCAAACCGATCTCTTTTCTTTAGAAGTTACCGAGGCTCAAGTTTTCCTTTAGAGCAACAAAAAAAAACTACGACAGCAACGTCCTGAGATCAGGAGGAATGTCTCAGAACAGCCTGGGCTGTCTTCCTGTTCTTCCTGGAGGAAGGCGTCATGCAGTGCTTTAGCTGAGTGCTTCCTGTGGCTCCAGGGTACAAAACCCAGGCTGGGCTGCTTTCTGGCTTCCCCCAGCTACACTGCAAATGGGGTGACTCCATATGTCCCGAGCAGCTTTTCTGAGCCTTGAGGGACTGGCTCACATTGAAATGTAGGCTTCTGTTGTCACTCACTGCTTATCTGTTAGTAATGAACCTGCCTGTGTAATGTATTCTCTGTGTGTTCTGTCTTCCTGGAGTGACGGTGAGTGATAGGAATTGGCATAGGCCCAGGTGCAGTCCAGGAGGTGTTTAGAGTCTTCTCTGGGAAGACTGCACTGGGATTGATACACAGCGAATGTGCTTTAGGATTTATACATCCACGGCATTCTTGAGTCAAACAACTTGCATTCTCCAAGAAAAGGAAACAAAAGTGAAATCAAGATAAAAAAAGCGAAGTAGAATTCTCTTATGTCAAATGGCCAGGAAATAGTGTTGAAGCCCATGTGAAACGTGCTACTCTTTGTGATCTCAGGAGACACATGTTAGGCTGCTGTTCTACCCCAGAGGCTGGGGGAAGGACCACACCCTCGGCCATCTATTGCTTCAATACCACCTGTCCTCCTGTGAATTAGTAGGAAAGGGGAGCAGGAGCTAGTGCTGACGCTGATCTCTGATTCCAAGATCTGGACTCACTCCAAGGAGTATTAGAATTTACCTCCCCATGGCCTATCTGAATCTCCACAGATGATTGGAAGTAGGGGTGAGGTGGGGGATTTGGGTGAGAGGGCATGTTTTTTTTGTGATGAACAGAGCACTTTGTGTATTCCAGGATCTGTGCTGGAGGATTCAGCGGGCTTTCACATTTTCTATATGATCTCATGCTCACAGAAAGCCAAATAGGGAAGAGGTTTTAGGCTCATTGCCTAATGGATAAGATAAAGGATCAAAGAAGTAATTATAGAGAAATAGAAAAATCATGATTGGAATTCAGGTCCCTTTGTCATTTGCGTGTGTTATATTATATTTATATTTATGCATTTCTTATTTTTATTTTTTGAGACGGAGTCTCCTTGTGTCACCCAGGCTGGAGTGCAGTGATGCAATCTCCACTCACTGCAAACTCCACCTCCTGGGTTGAAGTCATTCTCCTGCTTCATCCTCCAGAGTAGGAGCTGGCATTACAGGGATGCACCACCATGTTCGGCTAATTTTTGTGTTTTTCCTAGAGACAGGGTTTCACCATGTTGGCCAGGCTGGTCTCGAACTGCTGACTTCGTGTGATCCACCCGCCTTGGCCTCCTGCAGTGCTGGGTTACAGGCGTGAGCCACCGTTCACAGACTTGTATATTATGCTGTAATAGGTCCCTTCATTTCCACCACCCCTCATATATCTGTCACTCCTTTGCCAGGTATTGATTTATGTGTAGTAGGAATAAAGCTCAGAAAGAAATTAAGCGAGGATTAGACAACTAGGAAAATCATACCCAGCAAGCCTTTCCAGCCAATGATTCCACCTCACAAGCATATCTTATATCCATCTGCTTCACCCAGTTAGGGTCTAAATCAGCACCACATTTCACCAGTGAGGCGGGAATTGCCTTTTCCACGGTCTCCTAGATTCCAGTTACGCACCTGGGCCTCCCTTATTTTCATGTCAGTCACTATTAATCATGTAGGGATTCCTGGCTACCCCGAGGTGAATCCAATGGCTGTGAGTGTCAAACACACACTCCTTGTTGCTCCTTAGTTTCCTGTGTACCCAGTGTGCTCTCCGTCTCTCCACAGTCGTCTTGTCATTCTCCCCATCTCATTCCCAGCATTTGAGGCAGAGCCTCTTCCTTCCACATCAGATTGTTTTCAGCTTTCTGCCTTCACGGCTGACAGCTGTGTGTGGAAAATCCTTCCGCCAATCTTTCAGGGGTTCAATCCGTGTTTTTCATTAATGTCACAAATATCTGATTAGTGAGATCTTCTCTGTCACCCAAAATCATACACTCAGCATTATGTATTATTTATTTTAAATTCTGGCTGGGCACAGTGGCTCACGCCAGTTATCCCAGTACTTTAGGATGCTGAGACGGTCGGATCACTTGAGGTTGGGAGTTTCAGAGAAGCTTGGCGAAGATGGTGAAACATCCTCTACAAAAAATATACAAAAAGAATTAGCCGGGCATGGTGGCAGTTGCCTGTAATCCCAGCTACTCGAGAGGCTGACGCAGGAGAATCACTTGGATCCAGAAGGTGCAGGTTGCAGTGAGCCAAGATGGTGACACTGCACTGTAGCCTGGAAGACGGAGGGAGACTCTGTCTCAATAAACAAACGAAGAAACAAACAAATAGATTTCATACACAGATGCTTCCCAATGGATCATTCATTTATTGGTCCACTTGTGCATTCATTTTCTGCCCTCCCATTTAACCATCTGCAATATCAGTGTCCCAAGGGCAGAGGCCAAATGCATCTTGTTCACTGTTTGTGGAAGGTAGGAGAATGCTGTCCCACCCCAAAATGTCCCTGTCCTAGCCTCCATAGCTTGTGAATATCTTATTTTACATGGAAAGGAGGAATGAAGATTGCAGATGGAATTATGGTTGCTAATCAGCTGAACTTAAAACAAGGGTATCCTGAATGATTTCCTGGAGATTATGATGGATTTTCATCTTGGTGAACCCAATAGAATCCCCAAGTTTTCAAAAGATGAGGAAGAAGGGAGAGCAGCATTCAGATAAAGAGGTGTGGTAAGGAAGAAGGGTCTGAGTGATGCCACGTGAGATGTGACCAGCCTTTGTGGGCTTTGAGGAAGGAGGAAGGGGACCAGGAGCGAAGGAATGTGGGAGCCTCTAGAAGCTGGGACAAGTGAGAAGCAGATTCTTGCCTGGAACCCTCAGAGGGAAGGCAGCCTTGCTGTCGCCTTGATTTTAGCCCAGTGAGATGCACTTCATACTTTGAGCTAGAGCACTGTAAGATAATTAAAAAACCGTTTTGTTTTCACCCACGAATCTTGTGGAAATTTGTTATGGCAACAATAGGAAAAGCTTCCACACTGCACAGCCTGAGCATGGGGCCGTGGCTGAATGAGTCAGTGAGTCGAAGTGTGCGTGCATGAGCTCTGTTCTCTGTTACGGCAAGGCGCTTTCTCTGCGGAGTCAGCCAGGGTTGCTTCATGACCTACAGGAGCTCATTCCTTGGCAAGTGGAACTTCTCTAAAACACCTCGCCCTCATCAGATGTTCCCTTCCCTTCCCTCTCTCAAGTCTCCAGGAATTTATCCTCCAGTTAGGAATGCAGGCAGAACAAACATTGCATTTTTCCTGAGAAGGATGTCAGATTGGCAATCATTCTTCTAGCTTGTAGGAGGTCTCAGCTCCATAAAATGAGGGATGAAGAGATTTCACTGAGCCCTGTGTTGGGCCCAGATCCCTTTCGCTGTTGGAGTATCTGGAGTTCGGAGATGGTGGAAGACAGGGGTACAATGTCAGAGCTGTGAGATGCTGAGTCAACGCCTGAATCCAAGGTTTCCACCTCCCCAGGTTTCCAAAAGCGGATATAAGAGGGTTCTGTACTCACCGGTTTCGGAGCTTGGTTCAGTGGGTGAAGGCCAACTATTTGAAGAGTTTCCTAGAACACGAGACAGGAGAGAGGTGAGGAAATGAGGGTGTCTGTCCTCTACTCAGTGGAAATCTTTGAGGATGGTTCATGGCCAACACTCTGTTATCTAATATTGGGCCCTGGGAGTCCTGGGATCCTTTTTTCCATAATTTTTTTATGTGACACCCACTGTCTTGAGACTTCAAGGTATAAAGAGAAAACAGGAGCATCACACTACCTGATCTCAAAATATGTTACAGAGCTGTAGTAAGCAAAACAGCATGACATTGGCATAAAGAAAGGCACATAGAACAATGGAGCAGAATGAATAACACAGATATATTCCATGCATTTACATCCAATGGTTTTTATTTTTTCTTTTGAGATGGAGTCTTGCTCTGTCACTCAGGCTGGAGTGCAGAGGTGCAATCTCAGTTCACTGCAACCTCAGCCTCCTGGGTTCAATCATTCTCTTGCCTCAAACTCCTGAGTAGTGGTATTACAGGTGCTGACCACCATGCTCAGCTAATTTTTATATTTTTAGTGGAGACGATGTTTCATCACGTCGTCCAGACTGATCTTGAACTCCTGGCCTCAGGTAATCCACCCGCCTCGGCCTCCCAAAGTGCTGAAATTGCAGGTGTTAGCTACCAAGCCCAGCCCATCCAATGGACTTTGACAAAGGTGCCAAGAACTCACAATCAGGAAAGGACAGTCTTTTCAATAAACAGTGCAGGGAAACCTGGACATCGACATGCAGAGGAATGAAACTGCACCTCTACCTGTCACCATACACAAAAATCAAATGAAAATGGATTAAAGATGTGAGTCTAAGGCCTGAACCTATGAAACACGTAGAACAAAATATTGGGGAAATGCTCCAGGACATTTGTCTGAAGAAAGACATTTTGTTTTAAACCTTGAAAACACAAGTAATCGAAGCAAAAATAGACCATTGGGATTACCTCAAACTAAGCAACTTCTGCACTGCTAAAAATAAACCAACAAAGTGAAGAGACAACCCACAGATTGGGAGCAAATATGTGCAAACTATGCATCTGAGATGGGATTAATAACTAGAAATATAAGAAGCTCAAACAACTCAATAAAACAAATGATTTAATTGAAAAAGGAGCAAAAGACATGAAATTTCCCCACATACGAAAAACTGCTCAGTATCACTCATCATCAGAGAAACGCAAATTAAAATCAAAGTGAGTTTTCATCTCACTCCATTAAAATGGCTTTTAGGCCGGGCGAGGTGGCTCACGTCTGTCATCCTAGAATTTTGAGAGCCTGAGGTGGGTGAATCTCATAAGGTCGGGAGTTTGAGACCAGTATGACCCACATAGAGAAACGCTGTCTCTACTAAAAATACAAAAATTAGTAGGGCGTGGTGGCGTGTGCCTGTAATTCCAGCTACTCGGGAGGCTGAGGCAGGAGAATCGCTTGAACCTGGGAGGTGGAGGTTGCGGTGAGCCGAGATCGCACCACTGCACTCAGCCTGGGTGACAAGAGCGAAACTCCACCTCAAAATAAAATGAAATAAAATAAAATGGCTTTTAGCTGCAAGACAGGCAAAAGAAATGCTGGCAAGGTGGTAGAGAAAGGAGAACCCTGGTACCCTGTTGGGAGGAGTGTAAATTAGTACAGCGATTACGGAGAAAAGTATGGAAGTCCTTTAAAGAACTAAAAAGAGGTTGGGTGTGGTGGATCAGGCCTGTAATCCCGGCACTTTGGGAGACTGAGGCGGGCACCTCAGTTGAGGTCATGAGTTTGAGAGCAGCCCAGCCAACATGGGGAAACCGCATCTATACTAAAAAAACCAAAAAGTAGCCAGGCATGGTGGCGTGCACCTGTAATCCCAGCTACTAGGGAGGCTGAGGCAGGAAAATCATTGGAACCCAGGAGGCGGAGGTTGCAATGAGCCAAGGTCGCACCACTTTGACTCCAGCTTGGGCTAAGGAGGGAAACTCTTTCTCAAAAAAGAAAAAAAAAAAAAAGAGAACTTTCATAGTATCCAGCAATTTCACTACTGGGTTTATATCCAAAGGAAAGTAAATCAATATATCGAAGTGATATCTGCACTCGTATGATTGGTGCAGCACTGTTCACAGTAGCCAAGATGAGGAGTCAACCTACCTGCCCATCAGTGGGTGAATGGATAGAGAGAATGTAGTACATACGCACAGTGGAGACTACTCATCCATAGAAAGAATAACATCCTGTCATTTGCAGCCACATGGATGGAACTGGAGGTCATTACAAAGATTCCCATTTCTCACCCATATACAGGAGCTAAAAGGTGGATCTCATGAAGGTAGAGAGTAGAATGGTGGCTACTGGAGGACAGGAAGAAAAGGGTGGAGGGTAAAAAAAATGTATATATATATATATATAAATGTATTTATGACCACTAGACTTTACACTTAAAAATGGTAAATGTGGCTGGGTGCGGTGGCCCATGCCTGTAATCCCAGCACTTTGGGAGGCTGATGCGGGTGGATCATGTGGTCAGGAGTTCGAGACCAGCTCGACCAACATGGTGAAACCACCTCTCTACTAAAAATACAAAAAGTAGCCTGGCATGGTGGTGCGTGCCTGTAGCACCAGCTACTCAGGTGGCTGAGGCAGGAGAATCGCTTGAACCCAGGAGGCGGAGGTTGCAGTGAGCTGAGATTGTGCCACTGCACTCCAGCATAGGGGACAGAGCTAGACTCCACCTCAAAAAAAAATGTTAAAGGTGGTAAGCTATATAGGTATATTTATCCTCAATAAATATTTCTTCAAAGAAAAGTAAAGGGTGTAGGGATTGCTGGTGATGACATCTCTGTGTGGGTGAGAGGCCAGGATGGGCTTCTGGGAAATGGGTAATGTTGAGGGGCTGAGGGAACCTCTGATCTCCCCAAACTGAGCCCAGTCTCCCTCCTCTGGGTCTCTCCTGACCGCTTTCTCCATCTGCCTGGGTGCCTGGAGCCCTGGCCGCGGGCCTCCATGCAGGCCATGTAGGAGGGTTTGGAGGTGCCCTGTCTGCCATCCTGTGCCCTGATCCCTCCCTCACACCGAGGCTGCGTCTTCTCTCTGCATCTGTCCATGCTTCTCTCCATCCTCAGCAGGAAGCTCCTCAGCTAAGGCTCTAGGATCATAGGACATGGGACAGCCATGGGCTTTCCTCACCTGTGACAGAAACAAGCAGTGGGTCACTTGACTTTGACCACTCGTATGGAGAGTCACGGAAAGAGCCGAAGCATCTGTAGGTCCCTCCGTGGGTGGCAGGGTCCAGAGGAAAGTCGGCCTGGAATGTTCTGTTGACCTTGGGCCCTGCAGGGAGCCTACGTTCATGGGCCTCCCCTTCCCTGGATAGATGGTACATGTCATAGGAGCTCCGGGAGCTGCAGGACAAGGTCACGCTCTCTCCTGCCAGAACCGTGGGGCCCGGCTGGGCTGAGAGAGAAGGTTTCTCATATAGACCTGGAAGGAGAAGAGGCATTTTCCTCAGGGAGGATCTTCCTTGTCACAGCTCCCTTCACCTGAGCTGAGAACTCACTCCCCTGCTCTGTGACCTAATGCTCTCTCTCTCTCTCTCTCACCCTCCACCCCATCTCTCTTCACGTCTATTTCCTCCTTCCACCTTCTCTGTCTCTCTAGGTCTCTGACCTCACTTCCCCACCTCTAGATATGTTTTCTCTTTTTGGATTGTTTTATTCTCTCTGACTCTCCTTGGATTGGTTCACTTGATGTTACTTTTTTTAATTCTGAGTTTCTCACTTTGTGTCCTGTTCATAACTTTCTGCATATTTCTATCTATTATCTATCGATCTATCTATTTATCTATTCCGTGCCTATCTACAAATTCTCTACCTGTCATCTATATCTATATATCATCTATTTATCTATCAATTTTCTATCTATCCATCAATCATCTATTATCTATATCTGTGTATCATCTCTCTCTCTCTATGATTTCTCTATGTCTGCCTCTCTATCTCTATGTATTATCTATCTGTCTTCATCATCATCATCTCTATGTCTCATCTATTAATGAATCAATCAATCATCATCTATGTATCTATAACCTATTATCTATCATCTACCTATTTATCATCTATCTATATCTATCCATCTATCATCTGTCTTGCTCTGCCTCTCGGTCTCTCTAGTTCTCTTTGGAATCTCTGCAATTCATCCCCACATCTCCATCTTTCTATGTCCTTGTGCCTCTCCCTCATGACTCTAATTTTAGTGCTTTTCTCTGCTCCCTTCCATCATTCTCACCACTCCTCTGCCCTCTTTTCTCTCTCTTTATGTGTCTGTGAGTCTCTCAATCTCCTTCCTCTGGCTCATTCTCTGTGTGTTTATGTCTTTGCTTTTTGGTGTTCCTGATTTTTCTCTGTGCCTCTCAGTGATCCTTTCATATGTGGGGTTATTTGGAATGTGAGCCTCAGAATCCAGTCTGGAGACTACAAGTTCACACAGCATACAGGGGTTGGTGTTCTGGGGCCATGATATCCTGGGACGATTACTCTCCATTACCTGGAAGGCAGAGGTGTCAGAATAAACATGGCATCTGTAGGTGCCAGAAGGCCTGAGGCCATAGGGCCCAACTCAGGTCAGAAATATGGGTGTCCTTGGGTTCTCCTGGTAGAGAACACTTTGTGGAGGTAAAACAGAAATGAAACTTCTAACATGTGCCAGGTCTCTGAGCAAAGTCAGCATGGAGGGACACCTCTCTCTGGGACATGTCTGTCTGTCTGTCTCCTTTAACTCCTTCTGTCTTTTCTAACTCTCGGAAAGGCCCCTGTGTGTGTCCTCTGTTATGACACCTGGTCTGTACTTGTGTCTCCTGTTTCTCTGTCTCTGTTGGTACAGACCTCACCAAGTCAGTCTCTCTCCATAAGAATACCAAGCTCATCTTCCTTACAACCACCTGGGCCTCCAAGTCCTGGATCATTCACTCTGCATCCCAATGACAATGAGAAGAATGTCTGGACACTCTCACCTGTGATCACGATGTCCAGAGGGTCACTGGGCGCTGACAACTGATAGGGGGAGTGAGTAACAGAACCGTAGCATCTGTAGGTCCCTGCCAGGTCTTGTGTCATGCGACCGATGGAGAAGTTGCCCTTGGAGACCCCATCAATGTGCTCTCCAATGAGGCGCAAAGTGTGGTTAAACGTCCCCTCTCTGTGCAGAAGGAAGTGCTCAAACATGACATCTGACCAACATTGCAGGATGACTGTCTCTTCTGATTTCACCAGGGGACCTGGGTGGGCCAGGAGGGAAGGTTTTCTGCGGAATCCTAGGAAGAGAGTTTGTGAATTTAGAAGGTGTCTCTCTTTATCATCCCATCCATGGCACCTGGATTGAGTGAGGCTTCCCCTCCCTGGTGTCTGTCTCTCTCCTTCCTCTCTGTGTCTTCATGTTCTTTTCTGTGCCCATAACTCCTGGTGCAGGTCCTTCCATCTGTCTCCCTCCCTCTTCTCTGTCCCTCTGTCTCTAGTAACCTCTGATTCCCTTGCCGCTGGGCTCAGCCTCATCTCTTCGGCTGTTGTATCTATTTTGAACTAATGTCTTTCCTGCTGTATATGTGGGGGTGGAAGAGGAACCAGGATAGGCTGCACATCCAGGCTCTTAGCAGCCTGGTTCAATCTCTTTTGGTCGAATTGGAATCCTTGGCAGGAGGTATGAACTGATCAGTAAGGCAGGCACCAGTGTCCACACACCCTGTTCCTGGTGGGGACTGGGAGCCACTCTTGCCATGCCTGTGCCAGCTTCCATAGCCTGGCTCCTGGTGCTGGTTGGAGGAGTATCAACCGCTCCCTATGTGGATGGAGCCTGGTGGTGGCATCATCATCCCTCACTTGCTGATCTTGGTGTAGCCAACCTTCTCCTTGTTTGGTTTCTTTAATTAATTAATTTTGGAGACAGAGTCTCACTCCTTTGCCCAGGCTGGAGTGAAGTGGTGTGGTCTAGGCTCACTGCAACCTCTGTCTCCTGGGTTCAAGTGATTCTCCTGCCCTCAGCCTCCCAAGTCGCTAGGATTACATGCACCTGCCACCACGCCCGGCTATCCTTGTGTCCTTTCTTAACTTTTCCTCGAGCTGGGTTCCGGTGTTGGTTTCCTGTTGCTGCTGTAGAAAATTATCAGCAGCATGGCAGCAGGAGAGAGCACACTGACCCCTTCCATTTCTGGAGGCAGAAGTTGGGCCCTGTTTTTCCTGGGCTAAAATCAAGGCACCTGTAGGGTTTCGTTCCCTCTGGAGACTCAGGAGAATCAGTTCCTTGACTTTTCCAGCCTCTATAGGCCACCTGCATTCATGGCTCCTGGCCTTCCTCCACCTTCAAAGCTGATGGAGACTCCCATTACGCTGCTCTAATCCCCACTCCCCTCTTCCTCCTCCTTTCCTGTGGACACTTGTCATTACACTGAGCCCAGGGGGACAGTCCAGGCCTTCTCCCCATCTCAAGGTCAACTCATCAACAACCTGAGCTCCATCTTCCCCTTCAGTCCCTTCCCCTATAACATAAATAGTCACAGACTCCAGGGATTAGAATGTAGTCATCACTGGGGACAATTATTCTTCCCACCACAGCACCCATTTCCCTGTATTCAATCCCCCTTTACCCCAAATACAGTCAGGGCCTGCGTGAAGGGACCCTCAAGGACATGCCTACCAGAAGCTCTGGGATTCAGGAGGTGGGACAAGGAGAATCCCAGACAGGAGCCCTCTGACCTGTGACCACGATCACCAGGGGGTTGCTGGGTGCCGACCCCCCACTGGGGGAGTGTGTGTGTGAACCCCGGCATCTATAGGTCCCTGTGTGTGACGGGGTCACAGGGCCCATGAAAAGGCTTTTCCAGAATATTCTGTTGTAGAGCTCAGGGACAGGCACCCCATCATCCTTGTACAGACTGAAGTTGTTAAACCCAAGATTAGAGTGACACCGAAGAGTCACATGTTCTGGAGGCACCACAAGGCTGGGCCAGGTAGAAAGCAAGGGCTTGTCCTGACCACCTTGGGGAGAAGGAGGCGCCGCCTTAGAGAGGAGGATGTGGAGCCGCCCCTCCCTCCCTGTGCTCAGAAGATTCTCCCCACTTTCCACATTTCTATGGCTGCTATCACACCTTGGTGCCTAGGGCTAAAGGAAGGACTCATCCCACAAAGACAAGCTGTCTCCCTACAACAAAAGTGTCAGCTGAGAACTTTGAGCAAGTGCTGAGTAAGAGACTCCTACTAGATTTTAATACTGTAAGATTACTCACATAAAACAACACAGGGTAGACATGGGGTGGAGGGCATGTCCTTTGAGAATGGAATATCAGCAGATGCCTGAATGAAAATAAACAACTGAGCCCCCATCAGAGGATTTGGAATGTCAGGGCCATGGCTGTGGTTTCCCACCTCTTCTGGTAGAATGACAGCAGCCACACTGCAGCCCCTACCGTCATGGAAACGCTGAAGTGTGTGAGTAACACCTTTGTCCTCAGAGGATCTGCTGTTCCTACCACTTTCCCACCACACACCCCAGCTTTGAGCACCCTAGTGTAACCCTGGTCCCCACAGAACTTGACTCTGCCAAGGAAATGAAAGGCCAGGGAGGCAAGGTCGGAACTGTGGGCCAAGCACCCCAGGGTCCCCTCTTTCTAGTTTAAGAGAGACTCCCTGACAGGACTTCCCTCCCGTTTCAGGAAAATCCTCTTATGTGGGGAGATGACACCTTAAGGTTTGGAGAAGGACTTACCCTCATGTGGCCAGGCCCCCTGCAGCAAGAAGAACGCTGGAAAGAAAGATCATGATGGACCATCCATCTGCAGGCAAACCAGGCCTTCCTTGCTATCCCCACTAGGCTGTGAGTCTTGGTAGCCAGGCCCTTCCTGGGCCGAAGGGAAACTCACCCTCAGTGCCTACCTGCACCCAAGAACAGGGCTCTCGGCTGTGCAGAGACCCAGCCTCCATTCCCATATCCCTACCCCAAGCCCATATCTCCACTCCAGGCACATATCTCCACTCCAGGCTGATATTCCCACCCTAGGCCCATATAGCCAATCTGGGCCCACATCTCCAATCCAGGCTCAGATCTCCACCCTAGGTCCATAACTCCAGTCCAGGCCCATATCTCCACTCCAGGCCCATATCTCCTCCCCAGGCCCATATCTCCACTCCAGGCCCATATCTCCACCCTGGGCCCAGATCTCCACCTCCAGGCCCATAACTACACTCCAGGATCATATCTCCACTCCAAGCCCATATCTCCACAACAGGCCCATATCTCCACTCCAGTCCCATATCTCCACCCCACGCCCATATCTCCACTCCAGGCCCATATCTCCATTCCAGGCCCATATCTCCACCCCACGTCCATATCTCCACTCCAGGCACATATCTCCACCCCACGCCCATATCTCCACTCCAGTCCCATATCTCCACTCCAGGCCCATATCTCCACCCCACGCCCATATCTCCACTCCAGTCCCATATCTCCACCCCACGCCCATATCTCCACTCCAGTCCCATATCTCCACCCCATGCCCATATCTGCACTCCAGTCCCATATCTCCACCCCACACCCATATCTCCACTTCAGTCCCATATCTCCACTCAAGGCCCATATCTCCACCCCACGCCCATATCTCCACTCCAGGCCCATATCTCCACTCCAGGCCCATATCTCCACCTCCAGGCCCATATCTCCACTCCAGGCCCATATCTCCATCTCCAGGCTCATATCTCCACTCCAGGCCCATATCTCCACTCCAGGCCCTTATCTCCACCTCCAGGCCCATATCTCCACTCCAGACCCACATCTCCACTCCAGGGCCATATCTCCACTCCAGGTCCATATCTGCACCTCCAGGCCCATATCTCCACTCCAGGCCCATATCTCCACCTCCAGGCCCATAACTTCACTCCAGGCCCATAACTCCACTCCAGGCCCATATCTCTACTCCAGTCCCATATCTCCACTCCAGTCCCATATCTCCACCCTAGGCTCCTACCTCCCATCCAGGTTCCTATCTCTTCTCCAGGTTCCTCTCTCCACTCCAGGCCCATATCTCCACTGCAGGCCCATATCTCCACTCCAGACCCAGATCTCCACTTCTAGGCCCATCACTCCATCTCTAGGCCCATATATCCCCTCCAGGCCCAGATCTCCACTCCAGGCCCATAACTCCACCTCCAGGCCTATATCTCCACCTCTGGGCCCAGATCTCCATCCCCGCGCTCCCTCCCTCTATTCCCTTCCAGGACTCACCAACACACGCCATGCTGATGACCATGAGCGACATGGTGCTGCCGGTGCAGACAGGCGGCCGCACCCCTAGCTCAGCTCAGCAGCGCACAGGATGTTATTTGGCGCCCTGCCCATGCAGTTTACATGTTGACCACATCACGGGAGGGTGACGTACGCAGGCTCTTTCTACCTTGCATGAGGCCCAGTGGGTGCTTGCTCAAGAGCGGAACACGGCTTCCTGGAAATTGTTCTCACTAGAATTGGCACCTCGCGTCCTTCACTATGACCAACTCACAACACGTCTCAGATCCAACCTCCCGAACACAAGATGCCTAAAATCTGTGCTAACGTGAAAGACTTTTCATGTATTTTTATTGTTTTTATCTGAGATTCAAACTCTTCTTCCTGTGTAATATGCAAAGTATCTAATAGGTATTATTAATGTTTTCGGAGTCATTGTGACTAATAAACCATTAGAATTTTTCATGCTTGTATTTCTAGTATTACAGCAAAACCAGTTAAAATGATTTAAATTCCCAGGAAAGGATTATGCAATTATTTACAATCTTCGAATTGTACTTTATCAGCAAAAACCACACATGTAAATTCTGGATTTTTATAGTTTTATCTATAATTTGTCTCATGACCCAAGATTCCAGAGTCCCAACTCTGGAGTTTGCTCCCTCTCTGTCTCTGTCCCTCCCTCATTTTAAATTTTACGGAAATATCCAGTAACATAATGCTATAGAAAATCAAGTTTCCCCCAGCATGTTTGGAAGCCGAGGTGGGCGAATCAACTGAGATGAGGAGTTTGAGAGCAGCCTGGCCAACATAGTGAAACCGTGTCTCTGCTAAACATTCAAAAATTAGCCGTGCCTGGTGGCAGACACCTGTAATGCCATCTACTCAAGAGGCTGAGGCACGAGAATCGCTTGAACCTGGGAGGCGGAGTTTGCAGTGAGCTGAGATTGCACTACTACAGTCCAGCCTGGGTGACAGAGCAAGATTCCGCCTTAAGAAAAAAAAAATAGCAAGTAGCCTATAATAACAAATTAGAGGGCTCTGGCTACTAAATTTAAAGGGTTTTATAAGGCTACATGAAGTGCAGCATCCTCAAGAGTGTGGACACAGAGAGCCCCTTAGCAGAAACAGTGTCTAAAATACATCCGTGTACACACAGTCCCTTTAGAGTTGACAAAGGCTGCCCTGTGGTTTAAGGTGGCATAGAATGTCTTCTCAATAAATAATATTAAACCAAAGGGTTACACGTAGGAAAAAATAAATCTAAACTTATTCTCACACTATAAAAACACTTCTTGTTTTTATCTAGTTTATAATTTTTTTATGATTTATATTTAAAATTTAGAAATAACAGTTTTATACGGTCATCCTTCACTATTCCTGGGTGATTGGTTTCAGGATCTCCACTCAGATACCAAAATCTGCAGATGCTGAAGCCTCTTACATGAAATGGCACAGCGCTTGCATATAACCCATGCACATCCTCCTGTATACATGAAATCATCTCTAGATTACTTATAATTCCTGATATGGCCTACACACTGCTTCATTTGTGTCCCTTCAACATAGTTTTGCTTTTTGAAAGTTTGTGGATTTTCTTCTCTGAATATTTTTTATTTATAGTTGGTTCAATAAACACCTGTAAACCCCACAGATACGGAGGAGCGACTGTATATATATATATAGCATGAAAGATGATGTGTTGATATGTGTCCCCATGGAGATGAGACTAACAAGGCCTATGACTCTACAAATGTTTCATCGTGGAATGACTCTGCCAGCTTTCCAGGTCTGCAGAGAGTAAGAATATCACTTGTTCATGTGATTCATGATCCTTGGAACCTCCTATGTGCTGCATCTTTGGATGGAAATTGGAGTCCCAGAGACAAATGAGGCTCCACCCTGCTTCCAGAAGCTCAGAGTCCAGGGGAGAGAACCCAGTGGATAACAGATGGGGTTATGTGGACATGGTAATGATAACAGCGGTTTCTTTCAGCGAATAGTGTCACATTACCTAAAGCAATGAGGGCAGACATGTTTATTTGAAAAGGAGACAGCTACATTGAAATCACAAAAAATTTTATAAGTTTCACTGCTGACTGACAGAAGGCTGGAAAATAGTCTGAGGAAAGGTGAAACAGCATGAGGGAAGGTGGAACAGCACGTGTCTCAGTGCCATGTTAAGAGGGAGCCTCTTGTATGTCTGGAATTGTGAGTTCCTCAGTGTGATTGCAGCCTCAAGTAGACTAGGAAGTAAGCCAGTTCAGTTGGAGAGGTGGGCAGGGGTCAAGTGAAATAGAGAATTGTGGGCTAAGCAAAGGAGTGTGTCTTCTCTCCAGCAGGCAGTGGGGACCTTAGACATTTGTAAGCAAGAGAGAGGCATGTTCAGATTTGTGGTGTGAGGAAGAGCGATCCCCTAAGATGAAGACTGATGCCTTCAGATTCCAGCTGCTGGTACATGGGAGCTAGCAACCCGGTTTTGAGACAGGGCTGTTGTCTCCCTAGAAGATCCCCTCAAGGCCTGACTGTGGTGCTTATGGGCAGGAGACAATGATCTTGGCTTAGCATTTGGAAGTTCCATGTACATGGTGGTATCTGTTGGAGGTGTCTTGGGCCTCTGAGAAGGGGAAGTGATTTTTGTCTGTGTGAAAACGCAGTGATCCAACTGTGCATATGTCACCTCCTGAGGGTCTTGATCATCAGAGTCCTGGAGAGAGGGAAATGCTGAGTGAGGGAGGGTGCTCACATTCTTCAAGACTATTAGGGAATGAGACTCAATCCATGAGGCTGGGCTGAGGAGAACCTACCTCCCTGTTCACTGTTCTGTCCCCGGCAGGCTCTTGGTCCATTACAGCAGCATCTGTAGGAGATAGAAGTCATCAAAACAGCTGGAAGGGCACTTTTGGGTCCTCATTTCATGAGCAGACACCAACACACAGCGGGAGGCCGTAGGTGCCTGAGGTCCCTCAGCTGTCATCAGCCAGACCCAGACATTCTATCTCTCTGAGCTCAAGGACCCATCCCATGAATAGCTCTGAGTTCCCATCCCAGTGATTCTGTCTCCCCTTTCTGCCTGTCATGGAACCTTCTCCTGGATGTCAGTGGCTGCAGGGGACGTGAGGATACAGTTCAGAATCAGGCAATGGTCTGTGAGCTGAAGGCAGGGGCAGGGTGTCTGGTGCTCTCTCTAGAAAGCCCTGCCTCTGTGGCTCCTGCCTTGGTCCAGGGACCATCCTGCCAGTCAGGAACACACACCAGTGTGCTCCCATCCTGCTTCCCCACATGGTCCTGAGCTCTCTGACCTCTGCTTCGTGAGACTTACTCTTTTTGTTGGAGCAGCAGCAATGAAGGAGAAAGAAGAAGAGGATGATGAAGAGGATGATAGCCACTGAGGTCCCAATCAGAATGTGCAGGTGTCTGCGGATACCTGGGGGAAGGTGGGAATCCAATAAGAAGCTAATTATAGCAGTTCCTCTTTATGGATTGTCTCTCATTTCTTGGTTGCCAGCTAAGCACATACAACATCTGTTTAGGACAAGTTCCCCGATGGCAGGATACCCAGCTTTCTCCTGCTTTCTCAGTTATAGTTCTCAAAATAATCAGAGAACATGCTGGGGATACCACTGCTATAGTTTGGATGTTTGACCCCGCCAAACCTCACGTTGACACTTATCTCGCAGTGTGGGAGGCTGGGCCTATTGAGAGACGTTCCAGTTATGGGGGTGGATCCATCATGAATACATTAATGCTGTCCCCATGAGACGTGGTTGGCAAGTTCTCCATGAGGTCCCTAGGACTGGTTGCTAAAAAGAGCATGGGGTTTCTCCATGTTGGCCAGGCTGGTCTCAAACTCCTGACCTCAAGTGATCCAAACGCCTTGGCCTCCCAAAGTGTTGGGTTACAGGCGTAAGCTCCCATTCACAGACTTGTATATTATGCTATAATAAGTCCCTTCATTTGCACCACCCCTCATCTATCTATCAATCACTCCTCTGCCAGATATTGATTTACATGTAGGAAAAATAAATCTCAGAAAGAAATTAATATATTCAAAATTAAATAAGTAGGCATTATCAAATCCAGCAAGCCCTCCCTACAAATGATTCTACCTCACAGACATATCTTATACCCATCTACTTCATTCATTTAGTGTCTAAATCAGCACCACATTTCACCAGTGGGGCGGGAATTGCCTTTTCCACGGTCTCCTAGATTCCAGTTACGCACTTGGGCGTCCTTATTTTCATGTCAGTCATATTAATCATGTAGGGATTCCTGGCTACCCCGAGGTGAATCCAATGGCTGTGAGTGTCAAACACACGCTCCTTGTTCCTCCTTAGTTTCCTGTGTACCCAGAGTGCTCTCCGTCTCTCCACAGTCGTCTTGTCATTCTCCCCACTTCATTCCCAGCATTTGAATGCAGAGCCTCTTCCTTCCACATCAGATTGTTTTCACATTTGTGCCTTCACGGCTGACAGCTGTGTGTGGAAAATCCTTCCGCCAATCTTCCAGGGGTTGAATCTACTTTTTTTTTTCATTATGGTCACAAATATTATCTGATTAGTGAGACTTTCTCTGTCTCCTGAAATTATACACTTAGAATTCTTTATTATTTATTTTAAATTTCGGCTGGGCGCAGTGTCTCACACCTTGAGTCCCAGCATTTTGGGATGCTGAGACGGTCGGATCACTTGAGGTTGGGAGTTGGAGACAATCTGCGCAACATGGTGAAACTCCATCTCTACTAAAAAATATAAAAGAATATTAGCTGGGTGTGGTGGAGGGGACTGGAATCACAACTAGTCAGGAGGCTGAGGCAGGAGAATCGCCTGAACCCGGGAGGCGGAGGTTGTGGTGAGCTGAGGTCATGCCACTGCACTCCAGCCCGGGGACAGAGAATGACTTCGCCGCAAATAAATAAATACATAAATAGATAAATAGATAAATAAATAGGTAAATAGATTTCATGCACGGATGCTTCCCAATGGATCAATCATTACTGGTCCACTTGTGCATTCATATTCTGCCCTCCCATTTGCCCATCTGCAATGTCAGTGTCCTAAGAGCAGAGGCCAAATGCATCGTGTTTACCATTTGTGGAAGGCAGGAGAATGCTGGCCCACCCCCAAAATGTCCCTGTCCTAGCCTCCATAGCTTGTGAATATGTTATTTTACATGAAAGGAGGAATAAAGATTGCAGATGGAATTATGGTTGCTAATCAGCTGAACTTAAAAAGAGGTTATCTTGGGTGATTTTAGGGAGATTGTGATGGATTATCTTGGTAAACTCAATAGAATCCCAAAGTCTTTAAAAGAGGAAGAAAAAGTCAGAGCAACACTTAGAGAAAGAGGTGAGGTAAGGAAGAGGGATCTGAGTGATGCCACGTGAGAGATGTGATGAGCTTTTGTGGGCTTCGAGGAAGGAGGATGGGGACCAGATGCCAAGGAGCGTGGGAACCTCTGGGAGCTGGGAAATGTGAAAAGCCGATTCTCGCCTGGAACCTTCAGAGAAAAGGCAGCCTCGCAGTCACCTTGATTTTAGCCCAGTGAAATGCATTTCATATTTCTGAGCTATAACACTGTAAGATAATTTTAAAAGCTGTGTTGTTGTCATCCATGAAGATTGTGGAGATTTATTATGGCAACAGCAGGAAAGGGTTCCACACTGTACAGTCAGAGCACAGGGCAGTGGCTGAATAAGTGAGTAAGTGGAAGTGTCATATTTGTGGATGAACTACGTTCCTTCTTACTGCAAGGCTCTTGCTCTGCTGACTCAGCCAAGGTCGCATCATGACCAACAGGGGCTCATTCCTTGGCAAGTGGAACTTCTCTAAATCACCTTTCCCTCATCAGATGTTCCCTTCCCCTCCCTCTCTCAAGTCCCCTCAAATTTATCCTCCAATTTGGAATGCAGGCAGAAAAAACACCACTTTATCCCTGAGAAGGATGTCAGATTTGTACTCGTCCGTCTAGCTTGGAGGAGGTCTCAGCTGCAGAAATTTGAAATGAAGAGACTTCACTGAGCCCTTTGCTGTCCTCAGATACCCTTCGCTGTTGTAGTGTCTGGGGGTCAGAGATGTTAGAAGACAGGCCCACAATCACAGAGCTGGGAGGTGCTGAGCCAATGCTTGAATCCAAGATACCAACCTCCCCAGGTTTCCAAAAGCAGAGATAAGAGGGATCTTTACTCACCAGTTTTGGAGCTTGGTTCAGTGGGTGAAGATGAACTACTTGAAGAGTTTCCTAGAACACAGGACAGGAGAGAGGTGAGGAAATGAGGATGCCTGTCTTCTACTCAAAGGAAATCTTTGAGGTTGGTTCATGGCCAACACTCTGTTATCTAATGTTGGGCCCTAGGAGTCCTGGCGTCCCCTTCTCCATCATCATTGTTAAATGATGCCCAGTGTCCTGAGATTTCGAGGTATAAAGACAAAACAGGTGCTGGAGGCCTCACACTCCCTGACTTAAAAATATGTTACAAAGCTGTAGTAAGCACAACAGCATGACATTGGCATAAAGGCCCTTAGAGCAATGGAGCAGAATGAAGAACACAGATATAATTCATGCATTCACATCCAATGGACTTTGACGATTGTACGTGCCAAGAACCTGCAATCAGGAAACGACGGTCTTTTCAATAAATGGAGCAGGGAAAACTGGTATCTACATGCAGTTGATGAAACTGCACCTCTACCTCTCACCATACACAGAAATCAAATGAAAATGGAAGAAACACTTAAGGCCTGAAACCATTAAGCGTCTAAAAGGAAAGAGTGGGGAAATGCTCCAGGACATTTGTCTGAGGAAAGACATTTTATTTGAAATCTCAAAAACACAAGAAATCAAAACAAAATAATAGACCTTCGGGATTACATCAAAGTAAGCAGCTTCTGCACCGCAAAGGAAGCAACCAACAAAGTGAAGAAGAGACAAATTGGGAGAAAATATTTGTGAAGTATGCATCTGAGAGGGGATTAATAACTAGAATATACATAAAACTCAAGCAACGGTATAAAACAATGAATTTAATTTAACAATTAGTAAAAGACCTGAACAGACATTTCTCAACAAACAAAACGTACAAATGGCGAACATGTACATGAAAAAGTGCTCAGTATCACTAATCATGCCAATTGAAATCACAGTGAGCTATCATCTCATCCCATTAAAGTGGCTTTTATCTGAAACACAGACAAAATAAATGCTGGCAAGGTGGTAGAGAAAGGAGAACCCTGGTACCCTGTTGATAGGATCTAGCAATTCCACTACTGGGTGTAAACCCAAAGGGAAGGACATCAGTGTATCGAAGTGATATCTGCACTCATACGATTGGTGCAGCACTGTTCACAGTAGCCAAGATGTGGAGTCAACTTACCTGCCCGTCAGTGGGTGAATGGATAGAGAGAATGTAGTACACACACACAGTGGAGAGTACTCATCCGTAGAAAGAATAACATCCTGACATTTGCAGCCACATGGATGGAACTGGAGGTCATTGCAAAGATTCCCATTTCTCACCCATATACAGGAGCTAAAAGGTGGATCTCATGAAGGTAGAGAGTAGAATGGTGGCTACCAGAGGGCAGGAAGTAAAGGGTGGAGTGTAACAACAACAATAAAAAAGAATATAGATGTATTTATTTATTTAGAGACAGAATCTCTCTCTGTCTCCCAGGCTGCAGTGCAGTGGCCTGATCTCAGCTCAGTGCAACCTCTGCCTCCTGGGCTTACGTACTTCTCCTGCCTCAGCCTCCCATGTAGCTAGGAATACAGGTGCATGCCAGCATGCCCAGCCAATTTTTCTTGTCTGTTTAGTAAAGATGAATTTCCCTCATGTTGGCCAGGCTGATCTCGAGCCTCTGATCTTAAATGATCCACCTTCCTTGGCCTCTCAAAGCACCGAGATTATAACTGTGAGCCACTGCACCCTGCATATAAAGGAATTTATGACCACTAGATTTTACTTTTAAAAATGGTAAAGGTGGCAAATTATATAGTTACATTTAACCTAAATAAATGTTTTTTCAAACGGAAAGAAAAGGGTGTAGGGGTTGCTGGTGATGACATCTCTGTGTGGGTGAGAGGCCAGTATGGGCTTCTGGGAAATGGGTAAGGTTTAGGGTCTGAGGGAGCCTCTGATCTCCCCAAACTGAGCCGAGTCTCCCTCCTCTGGGTCTGTCCTGACCACTTTCTCCATCTGCCTGGGTGCCTGGAGCCCTGGCCGCGGGCCTCCATGCAGGCCGTGCAGGAGGGTTTGGAGGTGCCCTGTCTGCCATCCTGTGCCCTGATCCCTCCCTCACACCATGCTGCGTGTTCTCTCTGCATCTGTCCATGCTTCTCTCCATCATCAGCAGGAAGCTCCTCAGCTAAGGCTCTAGGATCACAGGACATGGGACAGGCATGGGCTTTCCTCACCTGTGACAGAAACAAGCAGTGGGTCACTCGGGTCTGACCACTCATAGGGTGAGTCATGGAGAGAGCCGAAGCATGTGTAGGTCCCTCCGTGGGTGGCAGGGCCCAGAGGAAAGTCAGCCTGGAATGTTCCATTGACGCTGGGCACTGCAGGGAGCCTAGGTTCATGGGCCCTCCCCTCCCTGGATAGATGGTACATGTCAAATGAGCTCCTGGAGCTGCAGGACAAGGTCACGTTCTCTCCTGTGCGAACCGTGGGGCCCGGCTGGGCTGAGAGTGAAGGTTTCCCAAATAGACCTGGAAGAAGAGGCAGTTTCCTCAGGGAGGTTCTTCCTTGTCACAGCTCCCCTCACACCTGAGCTGAGAACTCACTCCCCTGCTCTATGACCTAATGCTCTCTCTCTCTCTCACCCTCCACCCCCGACTCTCCCTGTGGATCCCTCCCTATGCGGCTCCAGCCTGGTGGTGGCATCAGCAGTGCACCCTTGCTGACCTTAGGGTAGCCAACCCTCTTGTTTGGTTTTTTAACTTGTCCTTGACCTGGATTCCTGTGTTGTTTCCTGTTGTTGCTGCAGAAAATTATCACAAACACGGCGGCGGGAGAGAACACTTCTGTTGACAGAAATCAGACCCTGTTCTTCCTGGGCTACAATCAAGGCATCTGCAGGGCTGCATTCCCTCTGGAGACTCGGGAGAATCAGTTCCATTGACTTCTCCAGCCCCTAAAGGCCACCTGCATTCCGTGGCTTCTGGCCTTCCTCCACTTTCAAAGCCCGCAGTGGCTGGTGGACTCTCCCTCCCACTACGCTGCTCTAATCCCCACTCTCCTCTTCCTCCTCCTCTCATGTGGACCCTTGTGATTACACTGAGCCCAGTGGGAGAGTCCAGGTCGTCTCCCCATCTCAAGGTCAACTCATCAACAACCTGAACTCCATCTTCCCCTTCAGTCCCATGTCCTATAACATAAATAGTCACAGGCTCCAAGGATTACAATATAGCCATGCTGCCGACAGTTACTCTTTCCACCACAGCACCCATTCCCCTGTATTCAATCCCCATTGACACCAAATACAGTCAGGGCCTGGATGATTGGACCCTGGTGGACACCCCCACCAGATGCTCTGGGATTCAGGAAGTGGGAGAAGGAGAAGCCCAGACATGAGTCCTCTGACCTGTGACCACGATCACCAGGGGGTTGCTGGGTGCTGACCACTCAATGGGGGAGCGTGGGTGTGAACCCCGACATCTGTAGGTCCCTGCGTGTGCAGGGGTCACAGGGCCCATGAGGATGCTCTTCCAGAATATTTTGTTGTAGAGCTCAGGGACAGGCACCCCATCTTCTTTGTACAGACTGAAGATGGTAAACCCAAGACGAGAGCGACACAGAAGAGTCACATGTCCTCCTCGAGGCACCACAGCGCTGGGCCAGGCAGACAGCAAGGGCTTGTCCTGACCACCTGGGGGAGAAGGAGGCGCCACCTTAGAAAGGAGGATGTGGAGCCGCCCCTCCCTGCCAGTGCTCAGAAGATTCTCCCCACTTTCCTCGTTTCTAAGGCTCCTACCACACTTGGGTGCCCATGGGTACGGGAAGGACCCACCCCGCATAGACTTGGCGTCTCTCTACAACAAAAGTGTCAGCTGAGAACTTTGAGCAAGTGCTGAGTAAGGGACTCCTACTAGATTTTAATACTGCAAGATTACTCACATAAAACAACACAAATAGACATGGGGTCGAGGGCATGTTCTTTGTGAATGGAATATCAGCCAATGTGTGAACCACAATACACAACTGAGCCCCCAACAGAGGATTTGGAAGGTCAGGGCCCTGGCTGGGGTTCCCCCACCTCTGAGGTAGAATGACAGCAGCCACACTGCAGCCCCTACCGTCATGGAAACGCTGGAGGGTGTGAGTTACACCTTTGTCCTCAGAGGCCTGCTGTTCCTAGCACTGCTTTGCTCCCTTCCTCTGCCAGTGACACCACATCCCAGCCGCACAGCCCAGCTTGGAGGACCCCAGTCTACCCTCCCGGGTTCCCACAGAACCTGACTCAGCCAAGGGAAAGGAAGGCTGGGGAGGGCAAGGTCGGAACTGTGGGCTGAGCACCCCAGGGTCTCCTCATCCTTGTTTATAAGAAAATCCCCCACCGGGCTTCCCTCCTGTTTCAGGAAAATCCTCTTATGTGGGGAGATGACACCCGAAGGTTTGGAGAAGGACTCACCCTCATGTGTCCAGGCCCCCTGCAGCAAGAAGAACCCTGGAAAGAAAGATCATGATGGACCATCCATCTGCAGGCAAACCAGGACTCCCTTGCTGCCCCCACTGGGCTGTGAGTCTTGGTAGCCAGGCCCTTGCTGGGCTGAAGGGAAACTCACCCTCAGTGCCTGCTTGCACCCAAGAACAGGGCTGTCGGCTGTGTAGAGACCCAGCCTCCAGGCCCATATCCGCACCCCAGGCCCCTATCCCCACCCCAAGCCCATATCTCCACTCCAGGCCCATATCTCCACTCCAGGCCAATATTTCCACCCTAGACCCATATCTCCAATCCAGGCCCATATCTCCACCCCAAGCCCATATCTCCATCCTAGGCCCATATGTCCACTCCAGGCCCAGATATCCACCTCTAGGCCCATATCTCCACCTCCAGGCCCATATCTCCACCTCCAGGCCCATGTCTCCACTCCAGGCCCATATCTCCATCCCAGGCCAATATCTTCACTCCAGGCTCCTATCTCCCCTCCGGGTTCCTATCTCCACTCCAGGCCCAGATCTCCACTCCAGGCCCATATCTCCACCTCCAGGCCCATATCTCCACTCCAGACCCAGATCTCCACTTCTAGGCCCATCACTCCATCTCCAGGCCCATATATCCACTCCAGGCCCAGATCTCCACTCCAGGCCCATAACTCCACCTCCAGGCCTATATCTCCACCTCTGGGCCCAGATCTCCATCCCCGCACTCCCTCCCTCTATTCCTTTCCAGGACTCACCAACACACGCCATGCTGATGACCATGAGCGACATGGTGCTGCCGGTGCAGACAGGCGGCCGCGCCCCAGCTCAGCTCAGCAGCGCACAGGATGTTATTTGGCGCCCTGCCCATGCAGTTTACATGTTGACCACATCACGGGAGGGTGACGTACGCAGGCTCTTTCTACCTTGCATGAGGCCCAGTGGGTGCTTGCTCAAGAGCGGAACACGGCTTCCTGGAAATTGTTCTCACTAGAATTGGCACCTCGCGTCCTTCACTATGACCAACTCACAACACGTCTCAGATCCAACCTCCCGAACACAAGATGCCTAAAATCTGTGCTAACGTGAAAGACTTTTCATGTATTTTTATTGTTTTTATCTGAGATTCAAACTCTTCTTCCTGTGTAATATGCAAAGTATCTAATAGGTATTATTAATGTTTTCGGAGTCATTGTGACTAATAAACCATTAGAATTTTTCATGCTTGTATTTCTAGTATTACAGCAGAACCAGCTAAAATGATTTAAATTCCCAGGGAAGGATTATGCAATTATTTACAATCTTAGAATTGTACTTTATCAGCAAAAACCACACCTGTAAATTCTGGAGTTTTGTAGTTTAATCTAAAATTTGTCTCATGACCCAAGATTCCAGAGTCCCAACTCTGGAGTTTGATCTCTCTCTGTCTCTCTCCCTCCCTCGTTTTAAATTTTACAGAAATATCCAGTAACATAATGCTATAGAAAATCAAGTTTTCCCCAGCACGTTGGGAAGCCGAGGTGGGCGGATCAACTGAGATAAGGAGTTTGAGAGCAGCCTGGTCAACATAGTGAAACCGTGTCTCTGCTAAAAATCCAAAAATTAGCCGTGCCTGGTGGCAGGCACCTGTAACGCCAGCTGCTCAAGAGGCTGAGGCACGAGAATCGCTTGAACCTGGGAGGTGGAGGTTGCAGTGAGCTGAGATTGTGTCACTGCAGTCCAGCCTGGGCGACAGAGCAAGACTCCGCCTCAAGAAAAAAAAAGCAAATAGCCTATAATAACAAATTAGAGGGCTCTGGCTACTAAATTTAAAGGGTTCTATAAGGCTACATAAAGTGCAGCGTCATCAAGAGTGTGGACACAGAGAGCCCCTTAGCAGAAACAGTGTCTAAAATACATCCATGTACACACAATCCCTTTAGAGTTGACAAAGGCTGCTGTGTGGTTTAAGGTGGCATAGAATGTCTTCTCAATAAATAATATTAAACCAATGGGTTACACCTAGTAAAAAATAAATCTAACTGACACTATAAAAACACTTCTTAGTTTTTATCTAGTTGTACATTTTTTATGATTTATATTTAAATTTGAGAAATAAAAGTCATATACGGTCATCCTTCACTATTCGTGGGTGATTGGTTTTGAGATCTCCACTCAGATACCAAAATCTGTAGATGCTCAAGCCTCTTATATGAAATGGCACAGCATTTGCAAATAACCTATGCACATCCTCCTGTATACATGAAATCATCTCTAGATTACCTATAATTCCTGATACAGCCTACACACAGCTTCATTTGTGTCCATTTAACATAGTTATGCTTTTTGAAACTCTGTGGATACTTTCTCTCAATATTTTTGATTTATACTTGGTTCAATAAACACCTGTAAACCCCGCAGATATGGAGGAGTGACCGTATATTTATATTATGAAAGAAGATGTGTTGATATGTGTCCCCATGGAGATGAGACTAACAAGGCCTATGACTCTACAAATGTTTCATTGTGGAATGACTCTGCCAGCTTTCCAGGTCTGCAGAGAGTAAGAGTATCACTTGTTCATGTGATTCGCGATCCTTGGAACCTCCTATGTGCTACATCTTTGGATGGAAATTGGAGTCCCAGAGACAAATGAGGCTCCACCCTGCTTCCAGAAGATCAGAGTCCAGGGATGAGAACTCAGTGGGGAACAGATGGGATTATATGGACATGGTACTGATAACACCGGAAGCCTTAGGCAAGAAAAGAGTCCCATTACCGAAACCATGGGGGCAGACATGTTTATTTGAAGGATGGAAAACTACATTGAAGTTATTTTAAAAAGTATATAAGTTTTACTGCTGACAGAAGGCTGAAAGCTAGTCTGAGGGGAGGTGGAACAGCATGAGGGAAGGTGGAACAGCACGTGTCTAAGTGCTGCGTTAAGACGGAGCCTCTTGTATGTGTGGAATTGTGAGTTCCTCAGTGTGATTGCAGCCTCAAGTAGACTAGGAAGTAAGCCAGTTAGGTTGGAGAGGTGGGCAGGGGTCAAGTGAAATGGAGAACTGTGGGCTAAGCAAAGGAGTGTGTTTTTTCTCCAGCAGGCAGTGGGGACCTTAGACATTTGTAAGCAAGTGAGAGGCACATTCAGATTTGTGGTGTGAGGAAGAGCGATGCCCTAAGATGAAGACTGATGCCTTCAGATTCCAGCTGCTGGTACATGGGAGCTGGCAACCCAGTTTTGAGACAGGGCTGTTGTCTCCCTAGAAGATCCCCTCAAGGCCTGACTGTGGTGCTCGTGGACAGAAGACAACTTTGGATCTGGGCTCAGCATTTGGAAGTTCTATGTACATGCTGGTATCTGTTGGGGGTGTCTTGGGCCTCTGAGAAGGGCGAGTGATTTTTCTCTGTGTGAAAACACAGTGTTCCAATTATGCGTATGACACCTCCTGATGGTCTTGTTCATCAGAATCCTGGAGAGAGGGAAATGCTGAGTGAGGGAGGGTGCTCACATTTTTCAGGACTCTTTGGGAATAACACTAGCCACGAGGCTGGGCCGAGGAGCACCTACCTCGCTGTTCACTTCTGTTCCCTGCAGGCTCTTGGTCCATTACAGCAGCATCTGTAGAAGACGGAAGTCAACAAAAGAGCTCGGAGGGCACTTCTGGGTCCTCATTTCATAAGCAGATACCAACAAACAGGGGGAGGCCATAGGTGCCTGAGGTCCCTCAGTTGCCAACAGCAGACTCAGACATTCTATCTCTCTGAGTTCAAGGACCCATCCCATGAATAGCTCTGAGGTCCCATTCCATTGATTCTATCTCCCACTTTCTGCCTGTCATGGAACCTTCTCCTGGATGTGAGTGGCTGCAGGGGACGTGAGGATACAGTTCAGAATCAGGCAATGGTCTGTGAGCTGAAGGCAGGGGAAGGGAATCTGGTGCTCTCTCTAGAAAGTCCTGCCTCTGTGGCTCCTGTCTTGGGCCAGGGACCATCCTGCTGGTGAGGAACACACACCCGTGTGCTCCCATCCTGCTTCCCCACATGGCCCTGAGCTCTCTGGCCTCTGCTTCGTGAGACTTACTTTTTTTTGTTGGAGCACCAGCGATGAAGGAGAAAGAAGAGGAGGATGGTGAAAGGGATTTTGACCACTGAGGTCCCAATCAGAATGTGCAGGTGTCTGAGGTTACCTGGAAGAAGAGGAGACACCAATAAGAAGCTAATCATAGCAGTTCCTCTTTATGAATTGTCTTGCATTTCTTGATTCACAGGTAACCACATACAGCGTCTCTTTAGGACAAGCACCCAGATGGCGGGAGACCCAGCTTCCTCCTGCTTTCTCAGTTATAGCTCTCATAGTAACCATAGAACGTGCTGAGGATACCACTACTTTAGTTGAGATGTTTGACCCCTTCAAACCTCAGATTGAAATTTACCCCCCAGTGTGGGAGGGTGGGCCTCTTGGGAGGTGTTTGAGTCATGGGGGTGGATACATCATGAACAGATCAATGCTGTTTTAAGGAGACGGGGTTAGCAAGTTCTCCCTCTATTAGTTCCTGGAGAGCTGGTTGTTCATAAGAGCTTGGAAGCTCCATCACTCCCCCTCTCCCTTGCTCCCTCTCTTGCCGTGTGATCTCTGTGGTCTCTGCACAGACAGACCCTCCTTCCCTTCTGCCAGAGTGGGAGCAGCCTGAGGCAGTCACAAGAAATAGATGCTGGTGCCATGCTTCCAGTACAGCCTGCGGAACTGTAAGGCAAACCAAAATCTTTTGTTTAGAAGTTACCCAGGCTCAAGTGTTCCTTTAGAGCAACAAAAATGGACTAAGACAGCAACGTCCTGAGATCAGGAGGAAAGTCCCAGAACAGCCTGGGCTGTCTTCCTGTTCTTCCTGGAGGAGGACGTGATGCAGTGCTTTAGCTGAGTGCTTCCTGTGGCTCCAGGGTACAAAACCCAGGTTGGGCTGCTTTCTGGCTTCCCCCAGCTACACTGCAAATGGGGTGACTCCACATGTCTCGAGCAGCTTTTCTGAGCCTTGGGGAACTGGCTCACATTGAAATGTAGGCTTCTGTTGTCACTCGCTGCTTATCTGTTAGTAATGAACCTGCCTGTGTAATGTGTTCTCTGTGTGTTCTGTCTCCCTGGAGTGACGGTGAGTGATAGGAATTGGCATAGGCCCAGGTGCAGTCCAGGAGGTGTTTAGAGTCTTCTCTGGGAAGACTGGACTGGGATTGATACACAGCGAATGTGCTTTAGGATTTCTACATCCACGGCATTCTTGAGTTAAACAACTTGCATTCTCCAAGAAAAGGAAACAAAAGTGAAATCAAGATCAAAAATGCGAAGTAGAATTCTCTTATGTCAAACAGCCAGAAAATAGTGTTGAAGCCCGTGTGAAATGTGCTATTCTTTGTGATCTCGGGAGACACATGTTAGGCTGCTGTTCTACCTGACAGGCTGGGGGAAGGACCACCCCCTCGACTATCTATTGCTTCAATACCACCTGTCCTCCTGTGAATTAGTAGGAAAGGGGAGCAGGAGCTAGTGCTGGCACTGATCTCTGATTCCAAGATCTGGACTCACTCCAAGGAGTATTAGCATTTACCTCCCCATGGTCTATCTGTATCTGCACAGGTGATTGGAAGTAGGGGTGAGGTGGGGGATTTGGGTGAGGGGGCAAGTTTTTTTTGTGATGACCAGAGCACTTTCTCTATTCCAGGATTTGTGCTGGAGGATTCAGCGGGCTTTCACATTTTCTATATGATCTCATGCTCACAGAAAGCCAAATACGGAAGAGGTTTTAGGCTGATTGTCTAATGGATAAGATAAAGAATCAAAGAAGTAATTATAGAGAAATAGAAAAATGATGATGGGAATTCAGGTGCCTTTGTCGTTCGTGTGTGTTTTATTATATTTATGCATTTCTTATTTTTATTTTTTGAGACGGAGTCTCCTTGTGTCACCCAGGCTGGAGTGCAGTGATGCGATCTCCACTCACTGCAACCTCCACCTCCTGGGTTGAAGTCATTCTCCTGCTTCATCCTCCAGAGCAGGAGCTGGGATCACAGGGATGCACCACCATGCTCGGCTAATTTTTGTATTTTTAGGAGAGATAGGGTTTCACCATGTAGAGATAGGGTTTCACCATGTTGGCCAGGCTGGTCTCGAACTCCTGATTTCTTGGAATCCACTGGCCTTAGCCTCCTGCAGTGCTGGGTTACAGGAGTGAGCCACCGTTCACAGACTTGTATACTATGCTATAATAGGTCCCTTCATTTCCACCACCCCTCATATATCTGTCACTCCTTTGCCAGGTATTGATTTATGTGTAGGAGGAATAAATCTCAGAAAGAAATTAATTTAGCAAGGATTAAACAACTAGGAAACTCAAACCCAGCAAGCCCTCCCTGCAAATGATTCTACCTCCCAAGCATAGCTTATATCCATCTGCTTCATCCACTTAGGGTCTAAATCAGCACCACATTTCACCAGTGGGGTGGCAATTGCCTTTTCCACAGTCTCCTAGATTCCAGTTACGCACCTGGGCCTCCTTTATTTTCATGTCAGTCATATTAATCATGTAGGGATTCCTGGTTACCCCGAGGTGAATCCAATGGCTGTGAGTGTCAAACACACACTCCTTGTTGCTCCTTAGTTTCCTGTGTACCCAGTGTGCTCTCCGTCTCTCTACAGTCGTCTTGTCATTCTCCCCACTTCATTCCCAGCATTTGAGGCAGAGCCTCTTCCTTCAACATCAGATTGTTTTCACCTTTGTGCCTTCACAGCTGACAGCTGTGTGGAAAATCCTTCCGCCAATCTTTCAGGGGTTCAATCCGTGTTTTTCATTAATGTCACAAATATCTGATTAGTGAGACCTTCTCTGTCACCCAAAATTATACACTCAGCATTATCTATTATTGATTTTGAATTCTGGCTGGGCAAAGTGGCTCACGCCTGTAATCCCAGTACTTTGGGTTGCTGAGATGGTCGGATCACTTGAGGTTGGGAGTTTCAGACAAGCTTGGCCAACATGGTGAAACATCCTCTCTACAAAAAATATACAAAAAGAGTTAGCCGGGCATGGTGGCAGTTGCCTGTAATCCCAGCTACTCGAGAGGGTGAGGCAGGAGAATCACTTGGATCCAGGAGACGCAGGTTGCAGTGAGCCAAGATCGTGACACTGCACTGTAGCCTGGAAGACAGAGGGAGACTCTGTCTCAATAAATAAATGAACGAACAAACAAATAGATTTCATGCACAGATGCTTCCCAATGGATCATTCATTTATTGGTCCACTTGTGCATTCATTTTCTGCCCTCCCATTTAACCATCTGCAATATCAGTGTCCCAAGAGCAGAGGCCAAATGCATCTTGTTCACCGTTCGTGGAAGGCAGGAGAATGCTGTCCCACCCCAAAATGTCCCTGTCCTGGCCTCCATAGCTTGTGAATATGTTATTTTACATGGAAAGGAGGAATGAAGATTGCAGATGGAATTACGGTTGCTAGTCAGCTGAACTTAAAACAAGGGTATCCTGAATGATTTCCGGGAGATTATGATGGATTTTCATCTTGGTGAACCCAATAGAATCCCCAAGTTTTCAAAAGATAAGGAAGAAGGGAGAGCAGCATTCAGAGAAAGAGGTGTGGTAAGGAAGAAGGGTCTGAGTGATGCCATGTGAGATGTGACCAGTCTTTGTGGGCTTTGAGGAAGGAGGAAGGGGACCAGGAGCCAAGGAACTGGGAGCCTTTAGAAGCTGGGACAAGTGAGAAGCAGATTCTTGCCTGGAACCCTCAGAGGGAAGGCAGCCTTGCTGTCACCTTGTTTTTAGCCCAGTGAGATGCACTTCATACTTTGAGCTACAGCACTGTAAGATAATTAAAAAGCCGCTTTATTTTCACCCACGAATCTTGTGGAAATTTGTTATGGCAACAATAGGAAAGGATTCCAACTGCACAGCCTGAGCATGGGGCCGTGGCTGAATGAGTCAGTGAGTCGAAGTGTGCGTGCATGAGCTCTGTTCTCTGTTACGGCAAGGCTCTTGCTCTGCTGAGTCAGCCAGGGTTGCTTCATGACCAACAGTAATTCATTCCTTGGCAAGTGGAACTTCTCTAAAACACCCACCCTCATGAGATGTTCCCTTCCCTTCCCTCTCTCAAGTCCCCAGGAATTTATCCTCCAGTTAGGAATGCAGGCAGAAAAAACACTGCATTTTTCCTGAGAAGGATGTCAGATTGGCAATCATTCTTCTAGCTTGTAGGAGGTCTCACCTGCAGGACATTAAAGGTTAAGAGACTTCGCTGAGCCCTTTGGTGGCCCTAGATCCCTTTCACTGTTGGAGTGTCTGGAGTTCAGAGATGGTGGAAGACAGGCCCTCATTCACAGAGCTGGGAGGTTTGAGCCAACGCTTGCATCCAAGGCTTCCACCTCCCCAGGTTTCCAAAAGCAGAGATAAGAGGGGTCCTTTACTCACCAGATTTGGAGCTTGGTTCTGTGGGTGAAGGCCAACTACTTGAAGGGTTTCCTAGAACATGGGACAGGAGAGATGTGAGGAAATGAGGGTGCTTGTCCTCTACTCAATGGAAATCTTTGAGGTTGGTTCATGGCCAACACTCTGTTATCTAATGTTGGACCCTGGGAGTCTTGGGATCCTCTTCTCCATAATTTTTGTGTGCGATGCCCACTGTCTTGAGACTTGAAGGTATAAAGAGAAAACAGGAGCATCACACTACCTGACTTAGAAATATGTTACAGAGCTGTAGTAAGCAAAACAGCATGACATTGGCATAAAGAAAGGCACATAAAAAATGGAACAGAATGGAGAACACGGATATGATCCATGCATTTACACCCAATGGCTTTTTTTTGTGTGTGTGTGATGGAATCTTGCTCTGTCATGCAGGCTGGAGTGCAGAGGTGCAATCTCAGCTCAATGCAACCTCCACTTCCTGGATTCAAGCAATTCTCTTGCCTCAAACACCCGAGTAGTGGTATTACAGGCACTGGTCACCATGCTCAGCTAATTTTTGTATTTTTAGTAGAGACGAGGTTTCACTCTGTTGGCCAGCCTGGTCTTGAACTCCTGGCTTCAGGTGATCCACCCGCCTCGGCCTCCCAAAGTGCTGGAATTGCAGGTGTGAGCCACCATACCCAGCCCATTTAATGGACTTTGACAAAGGTGCCAAGAACTCACAATCAGGAAAGGACAGTCTTTTCAATAAATGGTGTGGGGAAAACTGGATATCTACATGCAGAGGAATAAAACTGCATCTATACCTGTCACCATAAACAAAAATCAAATGAAAATGGATTAAAAACATGAGTCTAAGGCCTGAACCTATGAAACATGTAGAAGAAAATAATGGGGAAGACATTTGTCTGACGAAAGACATTTTGTTTAAAACCTTCAAAACACAAGTAATCAAAGCAAAAAATAGACCATTAGGATTACATCAAACCAAGCAACTTCTGCACCACAAAAGATAAACCAAGAAAGTGAAGAGACAACCCACAAAATAGGAGCAAATATTTGCAAACTATTCATCTGAGACGGGATTAATAACTGGAAATATAAGAAGCTCAAACAACTCAATAAAACAATTTAATTAAAAAACGAGCAAAAGACATGAGGAGACATTTCTCCACAAACAAAACATAGAAATGGCGATCACGTATATGAAAAAGTACTCGGCATCACTCATCATCAGAGAAATGTAAATTACAATCGCGATGAGTTTTCATCTCATCCCATTAAAATGCCTTTTAGGCCGGTGGCTCACGCCTGTAATTCCGGCACTTCAGGAAGCGGAGGTGGGCGGATCACCTGAGGTCGGGAGACCAGCCTGACCATCATGGAGAAACTCCCTCTCTACTAAACATACAAAAATTAGCTAGGCGTGGTGGCACACGCCTGTAATCCCAGCTACTTTGGAGGCTGAGGCAGGAGAATCAGTTGAACGCGGGAGGCGGAGGTTGCAGTGAGCTGAGATCACACCCTTGCACTCCAGCCTGGGCGACTATGAGTGAAACTCCATCTCAACATAAATAAATAAATAAAATAAAGTAAAGTAAAATGGCTTTTATCTGCAAGACAGGCAAAACAAATGCTGGCAAGATGGTAGAGAAAGGAGAACCCTGGTACCCTGTTGGTAGGAATGTAAATTAGTACAACTATTATGGAGAAAAGTATGGAAATTCTTTAAAAAACTAAAAGGAGGCTGGGCATAGTGGCTTATGCCTGTAATTTCAGCACTTTGGGAAACCGAGGCAGGCACCTCACTTGAGGTCAGGAGTTTGAGAGCAGCCTGCCCAAAATTGGGATATCCCGTCTGTGCTAAAAAAATACAAAAATTAGCCAGGCATGGTGGCATGCACCTGTAATCACAGCTACTAGGGAGGCTGAGTCAGGACAATCATTTGAACCTAGGAGGCACAGGTTGCAATGAGCCAAGATCTCACCACTTAGACTCCAGCTTGGACTAAGGAGGGAAACTCTTTCTCAAAAAAGAAAAAAAAAAAAAAGAGAACTTTCATAGTATCCAGCAATTTCACTACTGGGTTTATATCCAAAGGAAAGGACATCAGTGTATCGAAGTGATATCTGCACTCATATGACTGTTCCAGCACTGTTCACAGTAGCCAAGATGTGGAGTCAACCTACCTGCCTATCAGTGGGTGAATGGATAGAGAACTGTGGTACACACACACAGTGGAGACTACTCATCCATAGAAACAATAACATCCTGTCATTTGCAGCCACATGGATGGAACTGGAGGTCATTACAAAGATTCCCATTTCTCACCCACATGCAGGAGATAAAAGGTGGATCTCATGAAGGTGGAGAATACAATGGTGGACACCAGAGGCCAGGAAGGGAAGGGTGGAGGGTAACAAAAAAAAGAATATAGATGTATTTATTTATTTAGAAACAGAGTCTCTCTCTGTCTCCCAGGCTGCAGTGCAGTGGCATGATCTCGGCTCAGTGCAACCTCGGCCTCCTGGCTTTAAGTGCTTCTCCTGCCTCAGCCTCCCAAGTAGCTAGGACTACAGGTGCATGCCAGCATGCTCGGCTAATTTTTCTTGTCTGTTTAGTAAAGATGAATTTCCCACATGTTGGCCAGGGTGATCTCGAGTTCCTGATCTTAAATGATCCACCTTCCTTGGCCTCTCAAAGCGCCGAGATTACAACTGTGAACCACCACGCCCAGCATATAAAGGTATTTATGACCACTAGATTTTACTTTTAAAAATGGTAAAGGTGGTAAATTATATAGTTACATTTAACCTCAATAAATATTTTTGAAAATGAAAAGAAAAGGGTGTAGGGGTTGCTGGTGATGATATCTCTCTGTGTGGGTGAGAGGCCATGATGGGCTTCTGGGAAATGGGTAAGATTGAGGGGCTGAGGGAACCTCTGATCTCCCCAAACTAAGCCCAGTCTCCCCTTCTCTGGGTCTGTCCTGACCGCTTTCTCCATCTGCCTGGGTGCCTGGAGCCCTGATCGGAGGCCTCCATGCAGGCCATGAAGGAGGGTTTGGAGGTGCCCTGTCTGCCATCCTGCGCCCTGACTCCGCCCTCACACCTGCTGTGTCTTCTCTCTGCATCTGTCCATGCTTTTCTCCATCATCAGCAGGAAGCTCCTTAGCTAAGGATTTAGGATCATAGGACATGAGAGAGATATGGGCTTTTCTCACCTGTGACAGAAACAAGCAGTGGGTCACTCGGGTCTGACCACTCGTAGGGAGAGTGACGGAAAGAGCCGAAGCATCTGTAGGTCCCTCCGTGGGTGGCAGGGCCCAGAGGGAAATCTGCCTGGAATGTTCTGTTGACCTTGCGCACTGCAGGGAGCCTACGTTCATGGGCTCCCCCCTCCCTGGATAGATGGTACATGTCATAGGAGCTCCGGGAGCTACAGGACAAGGTCACGCTCTCTCCTGCCTGAACCTTGGGGCCCGGCTGGGCTGAGAGAGAAGGTTTCTCATATAGACCTGGAAGGAGAAGAGGCAGTTTCCTCAGGGAGGTTCTTCCTTGTCACAGCTCCCCTCACACCTGAGCTGAGAACTCACTCCCCTGCTCTATGACCTAATGCTCTCTCTCTCTCTCTCACTCTCCACCCCATCTCTCTTCATATCTGTTTCCTCCTTCTACCTTTTCTGTCTCTCTAGGTCTATGACCTCACTTCCCCACCCTGAGGTATGTTTTCCCTTTTTGGATTGTTTTATTCTCTCTGACCCTCCTTGGATTGGTTGACTTGATCTTCCTTTTTCTTTAATTTTGAGTCTCTCACTTTCTGTCTTGTTCATAACTTTCTGCACATTTCTATCTATTATCTATCGATCTATCTATTTATCTATTTTGTGTCTATCTACAAATTATCTATCATCTATATTTATGTATCACTTATCTATCTCTCTATCAATTGTCTATCTGTCTATCTATCCATCAATCATCTATTATCTATATATGTATCATCTATCTCTCTCTCTATTACCTCTCTGTCTGCCTCTCTGTCTCTATTTATGTATCATCTATGTATATATCTATGTGTCTATCATCATCATCGTCATCATCATCATCTCTATGTATCATCTATCAGTCATCATCTATGTATCTATAACCAATCCATTATCTATCATCTACCTATTTATCATCTATCTACGTCTATCTATCCATCTATCATCTCTCTCTCTCCGTCTCCTTGTCTTTCTCTGCCTCTCAGTCTCTCTAGTTCTATTTGGAATCTCTGCAATCCATCCCCACATCTTTATCTTTCTCTGTCTTTGTGTCCCTCCCTCAGGGTTCTGATTTTGGGGCTTTTCTCTCCTCCTTTCCATCATTCTCTCCACTCTGCCCTCTTTTCTTTCTTTTTATGTGTCTGTGAATCTCTTAATCTCCTTCTTCTGGCTCATTTTGTGTGTGTTTATGTCTTTGCTTTTTGGTGTCCCTGATTTTTCTCTGTGTCTCTCAGCGATCCTATCATATGTGGGATTATTTGGAATATGAGCCTCAGAATCCAGTCTGGGGACCCCAAGTTCACACAGCATACAGGGGTTGGTGTTCTGGGGCCATGATATCCTGGGATGATTACTCTCCATTGCATGGAAGGCAGAGGTGTCAGAATAAACACGGCATCTGTAGGTGGCACAAGGCCTGAGGCCACAGGGCCCAACTCAGGTCAGAAATATGGGTGTCCTTGGGTTCTTCTGGTAGAAACACTTTGTGGAGGTAAAACAGAAATGAAACTTCTAACCTGTGCCAGGTCTCTGAGCAAAGTCAGCATGGAAGGACACCTCTCTCTGGGACATGTCTGTCTGTCTGAGTGTCTCCTTTACCTCTTTCTCTCTTTTCTACCTCCCTGTATGGCCCCTGTGTCTGTCCCCTGTTATGACACCTGTTCTGTACTTATGTCTCCTGTTTCTCTGTCTCTGTTGGTACAGACCTCACCAAGTCACTCTCTTTCCATAAGAATCCCACACTTATCTTCCTCATGACCACCTGGGGGTTCCAAGTCCTGGATCATTCACTCTGTGTCCCAGTGACAATGAGAACAATGTCTAGACACTCTCACCTGTGACCACGATGTCCAGGGGATCACTGGGAGCTGACAACTGATAGGGGGTGTGAGTAACAGAACCGTAGCATCTGTAGGTCCCTGCAAGGGCACGCATCATGGAACCGATGGAGAAATTGGCCTTGGAGACCCCATCATGGATCTGTCCAACGAGGCGTGAGGGGTCCTTAGAGATCCACTCTTTGTGCAGAAAGAAGTGCTCAAACATGATATCTGACCAACATTGCAGGATGACTCTCTCTCCTGATTTCACCAGGGGACCTGGGTGGGCCAGGAGGGAAGGTTTTCTGTGGTTTCCTAGAAAGAGAAGTTGTGAGTTTAGAAGGCATCTCTCTTTATCATCCCATCCATGGCACCTGGAATGAGTGAGGGTTCCCCTCCCCGTGTCTGTCTCTCTCCTCCCTCTCTGCATCTCCGTGTCTTTTCTGTGCCCATATCCCCTGGTGCAGGTGCCTCCATCTGTCTTCCTCCCTCTTCTCTGTCCCTCTGTCTCCAGTAGCCCCTGACTCCCTTGCCACTGTGAAGACAGCCTCATCTCTTGGGCTGTTGTATCTGTTTCCCACTAATCTCTTTCCTGCTGTTTATATGGGGGTGGAAGAGGACAGGCTGCATGTCCAGGCTCTTAGCAGCCTGAATCAATCTCTTTTGAACAAATTGGAGTCTCTGGCAGGTGGTATCAACTCATCAGTAAGACAGACATCAGTGACCACACACCCTGTTCCTGATGGGGATTGGGAGCCTCTCCTGCCATGTCTGTGCCTTCTCCATGGCCCCAGCTTCCATAGGGTGGCCCCTGGTGCTGGTTCCAGGAGCATCAACCCCTTCCTATGTGGATGGAGCCTGGTGGTAACATCAGCATCCTGCCCTTGCTGATCTCAGGGTAGCCAACCTTCTCCTTGTTTGGTTTCTTTAATTAATTGATTAATTAATTTATTTTTGAGACAGTCACTTTTTCACCCAGGCTGGAGTGTAGTGGTGTTGTCTTGGCTCACTGAAACCTCTGCCTCCCCAGTTCAAGTGATTCTCTTGCCTCAGCCTCCCCAGTCGTTGGATTACTCGCGCCCACCACCACACCTGGCTGTCCTTGTTTGGTTTCCTAACTTGTCCTTGACCTGGGTTCCTAACTTGTCCTTGACCTGGGTTCCTGTGTTGGTTTCCTGTTGCTGCTGCAGAAAATTACCACAAACATGGCAGCAGGAGAGAACACACTGACCCCTTCCACTTCTGGAGACAGAAATTGGATCCAGTTCTCCCTGTGCTGAAATCAAGGCGTCTACAGGGCTGCGTTCCCTCTGGAGAATCAGCGAATCAGTTCTCCTGACTTCTCCAGCCCTTAGAGGCCACCTGCATTCTGTGACTAGTGGTCTTCCTCCACTTTCAAAGCCCGCAGTGGCTGATAGCGTCTCCCTCCCACTACACTGCTCTAATCCCCACTCCCCTCTTCCTCCACCTCTCACGCGGACCCTTGTGATTACACTGAGCCCAGTGGGACAGTCCAGGCTGTCTCCCCATCTCAAGGTCAACTCATCAACAACCTGAGCTCCACCTTCCCCTTCAGTCCCCTGCCCTATAACATAAATAGTCACAGGCTCCAGGGATTACAATGTAGCCATCATTGGGGACAGTTATTCTTCCCACCACAGCACCCATTTGCCCTGTATTCAATCTCCCTTGACCCCAAATACAGCCAGGGCCTGGGTGATGGGACCCTGACGGACAGCCCCACCAGAAGCTCTGGGATTCAGGAGGTGGGACAGTGAGAAGCCCAGACGGAAAGCCTCTGACCTGTGACCATGATCACCATGGGGTTGCTGGGTGCCGACCACCCAGTGGGGGAGTGTGGGTGTGAACCCCGACATGTGTAGTTCCCTGCATGTGCTGTGGTCACAGGGCTCATGTTGAAGCCCTCCTGGAATATTCTGCCATGGAAGATGGGAACGTGGATTCTGTCTTCTTTGTATAGCATGAAATTGTTAAACCTATGACGATAGTGACACCGAAGAGTCACGTGTCCTCCGCGAGGCACCACAGCGCTGGGCCAGGCAGACAGGAAGGGCTTGTCCTGACCACCTGGGGGAGAAGGAGGCACTGCCTTAGAGAGGAGGATGTGGAGCCGCCCCTCACTCCCAGTGCCCAGAAGATTCTCCCCATTTCCACTTTCTAAGGCTCCTACCACACCTGGGTGCCCAGGGCTACAGGAAGGACCCATCCTGCATAGACATGGCGTCTCCCTACAACAAGTGTCAGCTGAGAACTTTGAGCAAGTGCTGGAGAAGCAACTCTTACTAGATTTTAATACTGCAAAATTACTCATATAAAACAATACAAAGTAGACACGGCATGGAGGGCAAGTCCTATGTGAATGGAATATCAGCCAATTGATGAACTGAGCCCCCATCAGAGGATTTGGAATGTCAGGGCCATGGCTGTGGTTTCCTCACCTTTTCTGGTAGAAAGACCGCAGCCACACTGCAGCCCCTACCATCACGGAAACGCTGGAGGGTGTGAGTTACACCTTTGTCCTCAGAGGACCTGCTGTTCCTAGCACTGCTTCCCTCTCTTTCTCTGCTGCTGACACCACTTCCTCCCTGCACACCCATCTTGGAGCACCCTAGTCTCACCCCAGTCTTCACAGAGCTTGACTCAGGAAAGGGAAAGAAAGGCCGGGGAGGGCAAGGTCAGAAATGTGGGCCGAGCATCCGAGGGTCCCCTCTTCCTAGTGTATGAGAGACTCCCCGACAGGACTTCCCTCCCATTTCAGGAAAATCCTCTTATGTGGGGAGATGACACCCTAAGGTTTGGGGAAGGACTCACCCATGTGTGGACCGGCCCTCTGGACCAAGAACAACCCTAGAAAGAAAGATCATGATGGACCATCCATCTGCAGGCAAACCAGGGCACCCTGCTGCCCCCACTGGGTTGTGCGTCTTGGCAGCCAGGCCCTTGCTGGGCTGAAGGTAAACTCACCCTCGCTGCCTACCTGCCCCCAGGAACAAGGATCTCGGCTGTGCAGAGACTCAGCCTCCAGGCCCAGATCTCTACCTCCAGGCCTAGATCTACACAACAGGCCCAGATCTCCACTCCAGGTCCGTATCTCCACTCCAGACCCATATCTCCTCTCCAGGCTGATAAGTCCACTCCAGGCCCATATCTCCACTCCAGGCTCCTATCTCAACTCCAGGCTCATATATCCACTCCAGGCTCATATCTCCACTCCAGGCCCATATTTCCACTCCAGGCTTCTATCTCCTCTCCAGGCCCATATCTCCTTTCCAGGCTTGTATGTCTGCTCCAGGCCCGTATCTCCACCCCAGGCCCATATCTCCACTCCAGGATCATATCTCCACTCCAGGCCCAGATCTCCACTTCATGCCCTTAACTCCACCTCCGGGCCCATAACTCCACCTCTAGGCCCATATCTCCACTCCAGGCCCATATCTCCACTTCAGGCCCATATCTCTACTGCAGGCCCATAACTCCACCTCCAGGCCCATATCTCCACTCCAGGCCCATCGCTCCACTTCTAGGCCCATCACTCCACCTCTAGGCCCACATCTCCCCTCCAGGCCCATATCTCCCCTCCAGGCCCATATCTCCACCCCAGGCACATATCTCCACCCCAGGCCCATATCTCCACTCCAGGCCCAGATCTCCACTCCAGGCACATATCTCCACCCCAGGCCCCTATCTCCACTCCAGGCCCAGATCTCCACTCCAGGCCCAGATCTCCACTTCAGGCCCATAACTCCACCTCCAGGCCCATAACTCCACCTCTAGGCCCATATCTTTACCTCCAGGTCCAGATCTCCATCCCCGCACTCCCTCCCTCGATTCCCTTCCAGGACTCACCAACACACGCCATGCTGACGACCATGAGCAACATGGTGCTGCCGGTGCAGACAGGCGGCTGCGCCCCAGCTCAGCTCAGCAGCGCACAGGATGTTATTTGGCGCCCTGCCCATGCAGTTTACATGTTGACCACATCATGGGAGGGTGACGTACGCAGGCTCTTTCTACCTTGCATGAGGCCCAGTGGGTGCTCGCTCAAGAGCGGAGCATGGCTTCCTGGAAATTGCTCTCACTAGAATTGACACCTCGCGTCCTTCACTATGACCAACTCAAAACACGTCTCAGATCCAACCTCCTGAACACGAGATGCCTAAAATCTGTGCTAACATGAAAGACTTTTCATGTATTTTTATTGCTTTTATCTGAGATTCAAACTCTTCTTCCTGTGTAATATGCAAAATATCTAATAGGTATTATTAAGGTTTTCAGAGCAATTGTGACTAATAAACCATTAGAATTTTTCATGATTGTATTTCTAGTATTACAGCAGAACCAGTTCAAATGATTTAAACTCCCAGGGAAGGATTATGCAATTATTTACAATCTTAGAATTGTACTTTATCAGCAAAAATCACAACATGTAAATTCTGGATTTTTGTAGATTTATCTAGAATTTGTCTCATGTCCCAAGATTCCAGAGTTCCAACTCATGGTTTGCTCTCTCTCTGTCTCTCTGCCTCCCTCATTTTAAATTTTACAGAAATATCCAGTAACATAATGCTATAGAAAATCAATTTCCCCAGCACTTTGGAAGCCGAGGTGAGTGATCAACCGAGGTCAGGAGTTTGAGACCAGCCTGGCCAATATAGTGAAACCATGTCTCTGCTAAAAATACAAAAATTAGCCATGCCTGGTAGCAGGCACTTGTAATGCCAGCTATTCAAGAGGCTGAGGCACGGAATCCCTTGAACCTGGGAGGCAGAAGTTGCAGTGAGCCGAGATCGTGCCACTGCACTCCAGCCTGGGCAACAGAGCGAGACTCTGCCTCAAGAAAAATAAAAAAAGCATAGCAAATAGCCTATAATAAATAACTAGAGGACTCCAGCTACCAAATTTTAGGGGTTGTATAAGGCTGCATAAAATGCAGCATTCTCAAGAGAGTGGACAGAGAGAGAGCCACTGAGCAGAAAACAGTGTCTAAAATACATCCGTGTACACACAGTCCCTTTATAGTTGACAAAGGCTGCCATGTGGTTTAAGGTGGAATAGAATGTCTTCTCAATAAATAACATGGGCCCAAGGGTTACACATGGAGAAAAATATATCTAAAAGTATTCTCACACTATAAAACACTTGTTTATTTTATCTTGTTATTGTAATTTTTTTATGTTTTATATTTAAAATTGAGAAATAAAAATTATATACAGTCATCCCTCATTATTCGTGGGTGATTGGTCTCAGGATCTCCACTCAGATAGCACAATCTGCAGATGCTCAAGCCTCTTACATGAAATGGCACAGCATTTGCAAATAACCCATGCACATCCTCCTGTGTACATGAAATCATCCCTTGATTATTTATAATTCCTGATACAGCCTACACACAGCTTCATTTGTGTCCATTCAACATAGTTTTGCTTTTTGAAACTTTGTGGATTTTTTCTCTGAATATTTTTGATTTATATTTGGTTCAATAAACACCTGTAAATCCCACAGATACAGAGGACCGACTGTATATTTATAGTATGAAAGATGATGTGTTGATATGTGTCCCCGTGGAGATGAGACTAACAAGGCCTATGACTCTACAAATGTTTCATCATGGAATGACTCTGCCAGCTTTCCAGGTCTGCAGAGAGTAAGAATATCACTTGTTCATGTGATTCACGATCCTTGGAACCTCTTATGTGCTGCATCTTTGGATGGAAATTGGAGTCTCAGAGACAAATGAGGCTCCACCCTGCTTCCAGAAGCTCAGAGTCCAGGGGTGAGAACCCAGTGGAGAACAGTTGGAGTTATTTGGACATGGTAATGATAACACTGGAAACTTTCAGCCAAAAAAAGAGTCACCTAAAGAATGAAGGCAGACATGTTTATTTGAAGAGGAGAGAACTACACTGAAATCAAAAAAATTTTATAAGGTTTGCTGATGCCAGAAGGCTGAAAAATAGTCTGAGGAAAGGTGGAACAGCACGAGGGAAGGTGGAACAGCACGTGTCTAAGTGCCGTGTTAAGAGAGAGCCTCTTGTATGTTTGGAATTGTGAGTTCCTCAGTGTGATTGCAGCCTCAAGTAGACTAGGAAGTAAGCCAGTTAGGTTGGAGAGGTGGGCAGGGGTCAAGTGAAATAGAGAATTGTGGGCTAAGCAAAGGAGTGTGTTTTCTCTGCAGCAGGCAGTGGGGACCTTAGACATTGGTAAGCAAGAGACAGGCACCAGATTTGTGGTGTGAGGAAGAGTGATGCTCTAAGATGGAGACTCACGCCTTCAGATTCCAGCTGCTGGTACATTAGAGCTGGCAAGCTGGGTTTGAGACAGGGCTGTTGTCTCCCTAGAAGATCCCATCAAGGCCTGACTGTGGTGCTCATGGGCAGGAGACAACGCTCTGGGCTCAGCATTTGGAAGTTCTATACACACGCTGGTATCTGTTGAGGGTCTCTTGCTCCTCTGAGAAGGGCCAGTGATTTTTCTCTGTGTGAAAATGCAGTGATCCAACTGTGCGTATGTCACCTCCTGAGGGTCTTGTTCATCAGAGTCCTGGAGAGAGGGAAATCCTGAGTGAGGGAGGGTGTTCACATTTTTCAGGACTATTAGGGAATAAGACTGTATCCATGAGGCTGGGCTAGGAGGACCTACCTCCCTGTTCACTGTTCTGTGTCCCGCAGGCTCTTGGTTCATTACAGCAGCATCTGTAGGAGACGGAAGCAATCGAAACAGCTGGGAGGGCACTTCTGGGTCCTCATTTCATGAACAGATACCAACACACAGGGGGAGGCCATAGGTGCCTGAGGTCCCTCAGCTGCCAACAGCCAGACTCAGACATTCCATCTCTCTGAGTGCAAGACCCCATTCCATGAATAGCTGTCAGTTCCCATCCCATTGATTCTATCTCCCACTTTCTGCCTGTCATGGAATCTTCTCCTGGATGTGAGTGGCTGCAGGGGACGTGAGGATACAGTTCACAATCAGGCAATGGTCTGTGAGCTGAAGGCAGGGGCAGGTTGTCTGGTGCTCTCTCTAGAAAGCTCTGCCTCTGGCTCCTGCCTTGGGCCAGAGACTTTCCTGCCAGTGAGGAACACACACCTGCGTGCTCCCATCCTGCTTCCGCACAGGGCCCTGAGTTCTCTGGCCTCTGCTTCGTGAGGCTTACTTTTTTTTTTGGAGCACCAGCGATGAAGGAGAAAGAAGGGAAGGATGGTGAAGAGGATGATGGCCACTGAGTACCTAATCACAGCATGCAGGTGTCTGGCGATACCTGGAGGAAGATGAGAATCCAATAAGAAGCTAACCATAGCAGTTCCTCTTTGTGGATTGTCTCTCATTTCTTGGTTGCCAGGCAACCACATAAAACACCTCTTTAGGACAAGCACCCACGAGGCGGGAGACCCAGCTTTCTCCTGCTTTCTCCGTTATAGTTTTCATAATAACAATAGAATGTGCTGATGATACAACTGCTATTGTTTCAATGTTTGACCCCTCCAAACCCCACTTTGAAATTTAATCCCCAGTGTGGGAGGTTGTGCCTATTGGGAGGGGTGTTTTGGTCATGGGGGTGGATCCATCATGAATAGATTAATGCTGTCCCCAGAGGACGGGGTTAGCAAGTTCTCCCTCTATTAGTACCCTGGAGAGTTGATTCTTAAAAAGAGCTTGGAAGCTCCATCACACCCCCTTTCTCCCTCTCTTGCCATGTGATCTCTGTGGTCTCTGCACACGCAGGACCCCCTTCTCTTCTGTCAGTGTGGGAGCAGCCTGAGGCCGCAGCCAGAAATAGATGGTAGTGTCCTGCTTCTAGTACAGCGTGCAGATCAGTGAGCCAAACACATCTCTTTTCTTTAGAAGATACCCAGGCTCAAGTGTTCTTTTATAGCAACAAAAATAGGCTAAGACAGCAACATCCTGAGATCAGGAGGAACGTCTCAGAACAGCCTGGGCTGTCTTCCTGTTCTTCCTGGAGGAGAACATCATGCAGTGCTTTAGCTGAGTGTTCCCTGTGGCTCCAGGGTACAAAACCCAGGCTGGGCTGCTTTCTGGCTTCCCCCAGCTACAGTGCACATGAAGTGACTCCATGTGTCCTGAGCAGTTTTTCTGAGCCTTGAGGGACTGGCTCACCCTGAAAGGAAGGTTTCTGTTGTCACTCGCTGCTTATCTATAAGTAATGAACCTGCCTATGTAATGTATTCCCTGTGTGTTCTGTCTCCCTGGAGTGATGGTGAGTGATAGAAATTGGCACAGCCCCAGGTGCAGTATGGGAGGTGTTTAGAGTCTTCTCTGGGAAGACTGGACTGGGATTGATACACAGTGAATGTGCTTTACAGTTTCTACATCCACAACCCTCTTGACTCAAACAAATTACATTCTCCAAGAAAAGGAAAAAACAGTGACATTGAAATCAACATAAGTGAGGTTGAGCTGTCTTATATCAAACAGCCAGGAAATAATGATGAAGCTCGTGGGCAACATGCTACTTTTGTCATCTTGGGAGTCAGATATTAGGCTGCTGTTCCACCCGAGAGTCTGGGGGAAAGACCACCCCCTCCATCATCTGTTGCTTCAATACAGCCTGTCTTTCTGTGAATTACTCCAAAAGGTGACCAGGAGATAGTGCTGGCACTGGTCTCTGAGTCTACGATCTGAACTCCAAAGAATATTAGTTTTTACCTCCCCATGATCTATCTGTATCATTAATGTGATTGGAAGTAGGGGTGAGGTGGGGGATTTGGGTGAAGGGGCAAGTTTTGTGCCATGAACAGATCACGTTCTCTATTCCAGGACCTGCGCTGGTGGGTTTCACATTTTCCATATGATCTCATGCTCACAGAAAGCCAAATAAGGAAGATGTTTTCGCCTGATTTTCTTATGGATAGGATAAAGGATCAAAGAAGTCATTATAGAGAAATAGAAAAATGATGATTGGAATTGGTGTGCCTTTGTCATTCGTGTATGTTATATTATATTTATGTATTCTTTATTTTTATTTTTTGCCATGGAGTCTCACTCTGTCACCTAGGGTGCAGTGCAATGACGCGATCTTGGCTCACTGTAACCTCTCCCTCCCTGGTTGAAGCCATTCTCCTTCTTCAACTTCCCGAATAGCTGGTATTACAGGCATGCGCCACCACCCCCAGCTAGTTTTTGTATATTTAGTAGAGATGGGGTTTCACCATGTTGTCCAGGCTGATCTCGAACTCCTGATCTCACTTGATCCAGCCTCCTCAGCCTCCCAAAATGTTGGGTTACAGGTGTGAGCCACCGTTCAGAACCTTGTGTGTTATATTATAATAGGTCTCTTCCTTTGCACCACCCCTCATGTATCTCTCACTCCTCTGCCAAGTATTGATTTACATGTAGGAAAAATAAATCTCAGAAAGAAATCAATGAAGTGAAGATTAAACAATTAGGAAAAATCAAAGCAGGCAAGCCCTCCCTGCAAATTACTCTACCTCACAAACACATCTTGTGTCCATCTTTCATTCATTTAGTGTCTAAATCAGCACCACATTTCACCAGGGGGGCGGGAATTGCCTTTTCCACAGTCTCCTAGATTCCAGTTATGCACCTGGGCCTCCCTTATTTTCATGTCAGTCACTATTCATCATGTAGGGATTCCCAGTTAGCCCCGAGGTAAGTCCAATGGCTGTGAGTGTCAAACACACGCTCCTTGTTCCTCCTTAGTTTCCTGTGTACCCAGAGTGCTCTCTGTCTCTCCACAGTCGTCTTGTCATTCTCCCCATCTCATTCCCAGCATTTCAGGCAGAGCCTCTTCCTTCCACATAACATTGTTTTCACCTTTGTGCCTTCACGGCTGACAGCTGTGTGGAAAATCCTTCCGCCAATCTTCCAGGGGTTGATCTATTTTTTTCATTAAGGTCACAAGTATTATTTGATCAGTGAGAACTTCTCTGTCACCCGAAATTATACACTCAGCATTATCTATTATTTCTTTTAAAATACGGCTCGGCGCCTTGGCTCACGCCTCGAATCTCAGCACTTTGGGAGGCTGAGACGGGCGGATCCCTTAAGGTTGGGAGTTTGAGATAGCCTGGGCAACATGGTAAAACCTTGTCTGTACTAAAAAAAAAATACCAAAAAAAAATTAGCCAGGCGTGGTGGGACATGGGTGTAATCCCAGCCTCTCGGGAAGCTGAGTGTAGAGAATCGCTTTAACCTGGGAGGTGGAGGTTGCGGTGAGCCGAGATCCCGCCACTGCACTCCAGCCTGGGGCACAGAGGGAGACACCGTCTCATAAAAACAACCAATCAATCAATCATTCTCATGCACAGATGCTTCCCAATGGATCATTCATTTATTGGTCCACTGGTGCATTCATTTTCTGCCCTCCCATTTAATCCTTTGCAATATCAGTGTCCAAGAGCAGAGGCCAAATGCACCTTGTTTACCATTTGTGGAAAGGATAAGAATGCCGCCCCACCCCAAAATGTTCCTGTCCTAGTCGCCATATCTTGTGAATATGTTATTTTACATGGAAAAAAGGAATGCAGATTGCAGATGGAATTACGGTTGCTAATCAGCTAACCTTAAAAGGAGGGTATCCTAGATGATTTTAGGGAAATTATGATGGATTATCTTGGTGTTTCCAATAGAATGCCAAAGTCCTTAAAAGATGAGGAAGAAGGCAGAGCAGCATTCAGAGAAAGAGGTGTGGACAAGGAAGAAGGGTCTGAGTGATGCCGTGTGAGAGGCGTGACCAGCCTTTGTGGACTTTGAGGGAGGAAGACGGGGACCAGGAGCCAAGGAATGTGGGAGCCTCTAGGAGCTGGGAAAAGTGAGGAAGCAGATTCTTGCCTGGAACATTCAGAGGGAAGGCAGCCTTGCTGTCACCTTGATTTTAGCCCAGTGAGATGATGCATTTCATACTTCTGAGCTACAGCACCATGAGATATTTTTTTAAAATGTGGTTTCCATCCACGAAGCTTGTGGAAATTTGTTATGGCAACATAGGAAAAGGTTCCACACTGCACAGTCTGAGCATGGGGCAGTGGCTGAACGAGTAAGTGGAAGTGTCATGTGCACGGATGAACTACGTTCTCTCTTACCGCAAAGCTCTTGTTCCACTAAGTCAACCAGGGTTGGATCATGACAGACAGGAGCTCATTCCTTGGCAAGTAGAACTTCTCTACAAATACACCACCCTCAAAAATGTTCCCCGTCCTTCCCCTTCTCAAGCCCCCAGGCATTTGTCCTCCCAGTTAGGAATGCAGGCAGAACAAACACAGCATTTTTCCTGAGAAGAATGTCTGATTTGCACTCATCCTTCTACCCTGAGGTCTCAGCAGCAGAAAATTAGAGATTAAGAGATTTCACTGAGCCCTGTGCTGGGCCCAGATCCCTTTCGCTGTTGGAGTGTCTGGGGTTCAGAGACAATGGAAGACAGGCCCACAATCACAGAGCTGGCAGGTGCTGAGCCAACGCTTGAATCCAAGGCTTCTACCTCCCCAGGTTTCCAAAAGCAGAGATAAGAGGGGTCCTTCACTTACCAGTTTTGAAGCTTGGTTCAGTGGGTGAAGGCCAACTACTAGAAGGGTTTCCTAGAACATGGGACAGGAGAGAGGTGTGGCAATGAGGATGCCTGTCTTCTACTCAATGGAAATCTTTGAGGTTGGTTCATGGCCAACATTCTATTATCTAATGTTGGGCCCTGGGAGTCCTGGCATCCCATTCTCCATAATCATTGTAGGTGACACCAACTATCTTGAGACTTCAAGGTATAAGGAGAAAACAGGAGCATCACACTACCTGACTTAAAAATATGTTACAGAGCTGTAGTAAGCAAAACAACATGACATTGGCATAAAGAAAAGCACATAAAACAATGGAGCAGAATGAAGAACACGGATGTAATCCACCCATTTACATCCAATGGACTTTGACAAAGGTTCGAAGAATCTACAATCTGGAAAGGACAGTCATTTCAATAAATGGTGCAGGGAAAACTGGATATCTACATGCAGAGGGATGAAACTGCACCTCTACCTCTCACCATACACAAAAATCAGATGAAAATGGATTAATGACTTAAGACCTGAATCCATTAAATGTCTAAAAGGAAACACTGGAGAAATGCTCCAGGACATTTGTCTGAGGGAAGACATTTTGTTTAAAACCTCAAAAACACAAGTAATCACAACAACAACAAAAAAATAGACCATTGGGATTATATCAAATCAAGCAGCTTCTGCACCGCAAAGGAAGCAACCAATGAAGTGAAGAAGAGACAACCCACAGAATGGGAGCAAATATTTGCAAACTATGCATCTGAGATGGGATTAATAACTAGAATATAAAAGAAGCTCAAACACCTCAATAAAACTAATAATTTAATTATAAAATTAGTAAAAGACCTGAACAGACATTTCTCAATGAACAAAACATACAAATGAACATATATACATTGCATATATGAAAAAGTGCTCAGTATCACTAATCATCAGAGAAATGCAAATGAAGTCACAATGAGCTATCATCTCACCCCATTACAATGGGTTTTATCTCAGAGACAGACAAAACAAATGTTGGCAAGGTGGTGGAGAAAGGAGAACCCTGATACACTGTTGATAGGAATGTAAATTAATACAGCCATTACAGAGGAGAAGAATATGGAAGTTCCTTAAAAACTAAAAAGAGATTAGGCACTGTGGCTCACGCTTGTAATCCCAGCACCTTGGGAGGCTGAAGTGGGCAGATCACTGGAGGTCAAGAGTTCGAGACCAGCCTGGCTAACATGGTGAAACCCCGTCTCTACTAAAAATACAAAAATCAGCCAGGCGTGGTGGCGGGCACCAGTAATCCCAACTACTCGGGAGGCTGAGGCTGGAGAATCACTTGAATCCTGGAGGTAGAGGTTGCAGTGAGCCCAGGTGGTGCCATTGCACTCCAGCTTGGGCAACAAGAGTGAAACGCTATGTCAAAAAAACAAAAAGCATAAAACAAAACCTAAAAAGAGAACATCCAGAGGATCTAGCAATTCCACTAGTGGGTGTAAATGCAAAGAAAAGGACTTCAGTGTATTGAAGTGACATCTGCACTCCCATGACTGTTCCAGCACTGTTCACAGTAGCCAAGATGTGGAGTCAACCTACCTGCCCATCAGTGGATGAATGGATAGAGAGAATGTAGTACATACACACAATGGAGACAACTCATCCATACAAAGAGAAACGTCCTGTCATTTGCAGCCACATGGATGGACTGGAGGTCATTACAAGGATTGCCATTTCTTACTCACATGCAGGATGTAAAAGGTGGACCTCATGAAGGTAGAGAGTAGAATGGTGGATACCAGAGGTTAGGAAGGAAGGGGTGGAGGGTAACAAAAGAAGAATATAAAAGTATTTATTTATTTATTTAGAGACAGAGTCTCTCTGTGTCACCAGGCTGCAGTGCAGTGGCATGATCTCAGCTCACTGCAACCTCCTCCTCCTGGGTTTAAGCCACTCTCCCGCCTCAGCCTCCCAAGTTGCTGGGATTATAGGCGCCTGGCACCATGCCTGGCTAATTTTATTTTTTTTGTCTTTTTAGTAAAGATTGGTTCCCCCATGTTGGCCGGGCTGGTCTCCAGCCCCTGATTTTAAATGATCCACCTGCCTTGGCGTCTCAAAATGCTGAGATTACAGGCGTGAGCCACCGCACACAGCATATAAAGGTATTTATGATCCCTAGATTTTACACTTAAAAATGGTAAAGTTGATAAATTATATAGGTATATTTAACCTCAATCAGCATTTTTTCAAAGGAAAAGAAAAAGTGTAGGGGTTGCTGGTGATGACATCTCTGTGTAGGTGAGAGGCCAGGGTGGGCTTCTGGGAAATGGGTAAGGTTGAGGGGCTGAGGGAACCTCTGATCTCCCCAAACTGAGCCCAGTCTCCCTCCTCTGGGTCTGTCCTGACCACTTTCTCCATCTGCCTGGGTACCCGGAGCCCTTACTGCAAGCTTCCATGCAGGCCATGCAGGAGGGTTTGGAGGTGCCCTGTCTGCCATCCTGTGCCCTGATCCCACCCTCACACCATGCTGCATCTTCTCTCCACATCTGTCCATGCTTCTCTCCATCATCAGCAGGAAGCTCCTCAGCTAAGGCTCTAGGACCATAGGACATGGGACAGACATTGGCTTTCCTCACCTGTGACAGAAACAGGCAGTGGGTCACTCGGGTCTGACCACTCGTAGGGAGATCCATGGAAAGAGCCGAAGCATCTGTAGGTCTCTCCGTGGGTGGCAGGACCCAGAGGGAAGTCGGCCTGGAATGTTCCATTGATGCTGGGCACTGCAGGGAGCCTAAGTTCATGGGCTTCCCCCTCCCTGGATAGATGGTAGATGTCAAAGGAGCTCTGGGAGCTGCAGGACAAGGTCACGTTCTCTCCTGCGCGAACCGTGGGGCCCGGCCGGGCTGTAAGCGAAGGTTTCTCATATAGACCTGGAAGGAGAAGAGGCAGTTTCCTCAGGGAGGTTCTTCCTTGTCACAGCTCCCCTCCCACCTGAGCTGAGAACTCACTGCCCTGCTCTATGGCCTAGTGCTCTCTCTCTCTCTCTCTCTCTCACCCTCCACCCCCAACTCTTCCTGTCGATCCCTCCCTATGTGGTTCCAGCCTGGTGGTGGCATCAGCAGTGCACCCTTGCTGATCTCAGGGTAGCCAACCTTCTTGTTTGGTTTTTTAACTTGTCCTTCACCTGGGTTCCTGTGTTGGTTTCCTGATGTTGCTGGAGAAAATTATCACAAACATGGCGGCAGGAGAGAACACACTGACCCCTTCCACTTCTGGAGACAGAAATCAGACCCTGTTCTTCCTGGGCTACAATCAAGGCATCTGCAGGGCTGCATTCCCTCTGGAGACTCGGGAGAATCAGTTCCATTGATTTCTCCAGCCCCTTCGTGGCTCGTGGTCTTCCTCCACCTTCAAAGCCCACAGTGGCTGGTGGAGTATCCCACGATGCTGCTCTAATCCCCATTCTCCTCTTCCTTCTCCACTCATATGGACCCTTGTGATTACACTGAGCCCAGTGGGAGGGTCCAGGCCATCTCCCCATCTCAAGGTCAACTCATCAACAACCTGAGCTCCATCTTCCCCTTCAGTCCCCTGCCCTATAACATAGTCACAGGCTCCAAGGATTACAATGTGGCCATCGATGGGGACAGTTATTCTTTCCAACACAGCACCCATTCCCCTGTATTCAATCCCCCTTTACCCCAAATATAGTTGGGGCCTGGATGATCGGACTCTGGTGGACACCCCCACCAGAAGCTCTGGGACTCAGGAGGTGGGACAAGGAGAAGCCCAGACAGGAGCCCTCTGACCTGTGACCATGATCACCAGGGGGTTGCTGGGTGCCGACCACTCAGTGGGGGAGTGCGGGTGAAAACCTCGACATCTGTAGGTCCCTGCGTGTGCTGGGGTCACAGGGCTAATGAGGAAACTGTTCCAGAATATTCTGTTGTAGAGCTCAGGGACAGGGACCCCATCTTTCTTGTACAGCGTGAAGATGTTAAACCCACGACGACAGTGACACCGAAGAGTCACGTGTCCTCCTTGAGGCACCACAGCGCTGGGCCAGGCAGAGCAGAAGGGCTTGTCCTGACCACCTTGGGGAGAAGGAGATGCCGCCTCAGAGAGGAGTATGTTGAGCTGCCCCTCCCTCCCTGTGCTCAGAAGATTCTCCCCATTTCTTCTTTCTAAGGCTCCTACCACACCTGGGTGCCTGGGGCTACAGGAAGGACCCATCCCGCATAGACGTGGCGTCTCCCTACAACAAAAGTGTCAGTTGAGAACTGAGCAGGTGCTGAGTAAGGGACTCTTACTAGATTTTAATACTGCAAGATTAGTTACACCAAACAACACAAAGTAGACATGGGGTGGAGGGTATGACCTTTGTGAATGGAATATTAGCTAATGCCTGAACCACAATAAACAACTGAGCTCCATCAGAGGATTTGGAATGGCAGGGTCGTGGCTGTGGTTCCCCCACCTCTTCTGGCAGAATGACAGCAGCCACACTGCAGCCCCTACCGTCATGGAAACGCTGGAGGGTGTGAGTTACCCTCTTGTCCTCAGAGGACCTGCTGTTCCTAACACTGCTACCCTTCCCTCCTCTGTCGGTGACACCACATCCCCCCACACACCCCAGCTTTGAGCACCTCAGTATCCCGCCTGGGCCACACAGAGCTCAACTCAGCCATGGGGAAGAAAGGCTGGGGAGGGCTAAGACAAAACAGAAGGCTGAGCATACCAGGATCTCCTCTTACTAGTTCATGAGAGACTCCCAGGATCTCCTCTTACTAGTTCATGAGAGACTCCCAGGATCTCCTCTTACTAGTTCATGAGAGACTCCCCCCAGGCCTTCCCATGGTCAGCCCATCAGCCCACCCTCTGTGCTGCCTCCCTCCCATTTCCGGAAAATTCACTTGTATTGGGGTGAAGATGGCAACCCATCATTTGGGGAAGGACTCACCCACGTGTGCCCACACACTCTGGTCCAAGAAGAACCCTGCAAAGAAAGATCATGAGGAACTATTCATCTCGGCAGCAACCTACCCTTTCCTCCTGAGCCACTGGGCGCCACGCTGGACTGAAAATTAACTCATCCTCACCACTCACTTGCTTCAGAACATGGCTCTCTGCTGGGGAGACACCCAATCTGCAGGCCCATAGTGTAACCCTGGTGCTCCTTCCCTTCCAGGACTCACCAAGACATGCCAGGATGATGACCGTGGGTGACATGGACATGGTGCAGCTTCTGCTGCCAGGACGCAGTGACTCGGCTCGACTGACCGGTGCAGAGGATGTGGTGAGGGGCCCGGATCGTGCAGTTGACACATTGACCACAACATGTGAAGGGGACATAGGTAGGCTTCTTCTACGTCATATGAGGTTCAAGTGGTGAATCAGTCAAGGGAGGAATGAGGGTTTCTGAAAACTGCAGACTAGACTTGTCACTTCACATCATGCGCAACGGCCAGGCTCAAAACACATCTCAGACTCACTTACCCCTGCACGGGACGATTGAATTCTGCACTCACATGAGGAACTTTTGATGTATTTTTTTTTGTTTCTACCTGAGATTCAAACTCTCCTTGATATGTAATATGCAAAATACCTAATAGGTTTTATTAACACTATAGAGCAATCGTATTAAATAAATCATCATAATTTTCCATGGTTGTATTTTTCCTGTTAAGCCAGAAACAGATAAAATGATTTAAATCCCAGTAGAAAAGACTATATAGTTATTTCGCATCATAGAATTCCACCTTATTAGCAAAAACACAATATGTCAATTGAAGGTCTGGTCGTGTTATCTAGAATTTGTCTTATGACACAAGAGTCCAAATTCACAGTTCCCTGTCTCCCTTTTTGTCTCTCTGTAACGTGTGCTTTTTTTCTCCCTGTGTTGTTTGTGTGTCTTTCTTTCTCTCTCTCATTTGAGGAAAAAATATCAGACTGATAACATCCTCCAACTTGATACTGGAATATTGCAATAACTGAAGGTTGAAATCTACACATTTAATGTGCTGTCATTCTTACAAATGTCTCTTATTTACACCTACCTTTCTGGAGTTTGTAAGAACTTTTTCACTATGCATTTTAAATTTGTAAAACTCATAATTTTTAAAAAGGGATGGGTCTCACTGTTTGCCCAGGGTGGCCTTTACTCATTCTATAAGGCTGGCATCACCCTGATACTAAAGACAGAAAAGAACATTAAACAAAAGAAAACTACATGCCAATATTCCTGATGAACATAGAGGCAAAAATCCACAAAAAATACTAAGAACTGAATCCCGCAGCATATCAAAAAGTGAATCCACCATGATCAAGTCAACTTTATTCTTAGGGTGCAAGGTTGGTTGAACATACACAATCAATACATGTGATTCATCACCTAAACAAAACTAAAAACAAAAACCACATGATCTTCTCAACACACATGTAGAACATACTTTTTACTAAGCATTTCTTCATGTTAAAAGCCCTCAACAAGCTAAGCATTGAAGAAACATAACTCAATATAATAAGAGCCGCCTGTGACAAACCCACAACCAACATCATACTGAATGAGTAAAAGCTGGAAGAAGTTCCCTTCATAAGTGAAACAAGACAAGAATGCCCACTCTCACCATCCTATTCAACATAGTACTTGAAGTCCTAGACAGAGCCATCAGGAAAGAGAAAGAATTATAAGGCATCCAAGTAAGAAGAGAGTAGCAGAGAGAGGTAGTCAAATTACCTCTGTTTGAAGATGAGATAATTTCTATACCTAGAAACCCCATAGTCTCTGCCCAAAGGCTCCTACATCTGAGAAACAAACTTCAGCACAGTTTAAGGGCAGAAAGTCAATGTACAGGCTGGGTGTGGTGTCTCAGCCTGAAATCTAGCACTTTGGGAGGGCGAAGCGGGTGGATCACCTGAGGTCTGGAGTTCGAGACCAGCCTGGCCAACATGGCGAAACCCTGTCTCTACTAGAAACACAAATATAGCCGGACGGGGTGGTACGCAACTGTAGTCCCAGCTGCTTGGGAGGCTGAGTCAGGAGAACCGCTTGAACCTGGGAGGCAGAGGTTGCAGTGAGCGGAGATCACGCCATTGCACCTCAGCTTGGGCAACAACAGTGAAACTGCATCTCAAAAAAAAAACCAAAACAAATTTAATTAATGAGGAAAAGGGTATTTGTGGTGTCCATCATGATGTTTTCATATAGGTACACATTGTGGAATGGATGAAACAACCTCTTTATCATATTTATTTTTTCACATACTTGTATGTTTTGTGTGTGTGGTGAGAACATGTAAAATCTAATCTCTTAGTAATGTTCAATACACCATATGTTGCTATTAACTGGAGTCACCAAGACATACAATAGATCTCTTGAACCGATTTCTTCTAACTGAAATTTTGCATCCTTTGACCAACATCTCTTCAATCTCTCTCCATCCCAGGTTCTTTCGACGACCATTTTACTGTTCCTCTAGGTTCCACTTCTTACACTCCACACATGAGATCATGTGGCATTTGTCTTTCTGTGCCTGGATTGTTTCCCTTAACATAATGTCCTCTAAGTTTTTTCACATTGTCACAAATGAGAGGACTTCCTTCTTTGTTGTAAAGGTTGTATAGTACTTCATTACGTTCCTATCGTATACCACGTTTTCTTTGTCCATGCACCCATAGATGGGCAGTAAGGGTGATTCCACATCTTGGCTGTTATGAATAATGCGGCTGTAAACATGGGAATGCAGATATCTCTTCAACATACTGATTCCACTTCCTTTGGATACATGCGCAGTAGTTGGATTGCAGACACATATGGGAATTCTATGTTTAATTTTTTCAGGAACTTCCAGACTGTTTTCCATAATGGTTGTGCTAATTTACATTCCCATCAACTGCATACAAATGTTCCCTTTTCTCCACATCCTCGTTAACCCTTGTTATTTTTTATGTTTTTGATAATGGTCTTTTTTTTTTTTTTTTTTTGAGACTCAGTCTTGCTCTGTCACCCAGGCTGGAGTGCAGTGGCACAATCTCGGTGTACTGCAACCTCTGCCTCCTGGGTTCAAGCGATTCCCCTGCCTCAGTCTCCAGAGTAGCTGGGACTACAAGTGTGCGCCACCAAACTCTGCTAATTTTTGTATTTTTAGTAGGGATGGGGTTTCACCATATTGGCCAGGCTGGTTTCGAACTGCTGACCTCAGGTAATCTCCCTGCCTCGGCCTCCCAAAGTGCCTGAATTACAGGCATGAGCCACCATGCCCAGACTGTTAATGGTCATTCTAAGAGGTGTGAGGTGATATCTCATTCTAGTTTTAATTTTTATTTAGCTGATGTTTAGTAATGCTAATCATTTTTTCATATACCTTTTGGTGATTTGTCTTATTCTTAGAAATGTTTATTCAGATACTTTGCCCATTTTTTTAAGTTGGGTTATTTGATTTCTTACCATTGAGTTGTTTGAGTTTCTTATATATTTTGGATATTAATTCCTTATTAGATGTATGGGTGCAAATATATTCTCCCATTCCATAGGTTGTCTTTCCACTTGTTGAGTTTTTTTTTTCTTTGCAGAAACTTTCAATTTGATATAATGTTATTTGTCTACTTTTGCTTTTGTTGCCTGGGCCTTTGGGTTAATATCCAAAATGGTTTTGCCCAAGCCAGTGGAGTTTTCCCTTGATTTCTTTTAGTAGTTTTTTTTTTTTTTTTAAGATGGAGTCTCACTGTGTTGCCCCGGCTGGAGTGCAGTGGTGCGATCTCGGCTCACTGCAACCTCTACCTCCTGGGTTCAAGTGATTCTCCTGTCTCAACCTCCCGAGTAGCTGAGATTACAGGCACCCACAACCACACCCAGCTGTTTTTGTATTTTTAGTAGAGGCGGGATTTCACCATGTTGGCCATGCTGGTCTTGGAATCCTGACCTTAGGTGATCTGCCCACCTTGGCCTCCCAAATTGCTGGGATTATAGTCTTTCATCTTACATTTAAGTCATTAATCTATCTTGAGTTGACTTTGTATGTTTTGTGAGGCAAATGTCCACTTCCATTCTTCTGCATGTGGACATGCAGTCTCCCAATCCCATTTATTAAAGAGACTGTTCCTTCTCCATTGTGTGTTCTTGACACATCCCAAAAATTGTTTGACCCTAAATGCATGCATTTTTTTCCTGGGCTATGAATCACTTCCATTGGTCTATGTGTCTGTTTTTATGCAAGTACTGTGTTGTTTTAATTACTGTAATTTTGTAATGTAGTTTGTGTTTAGGTAATGTGATGCTTCCAACTTTGTTCCTTTCCCTCTAGATGGCTTTGGTTATTTGAGATCTTTTGTGGTTCCACATGAATTTTAGGACTGTTTTTTCTATTTCTGTAAAAAAAATGTCATTGGATTTTTGATAATGGTTGCATTGAATCACTTTGGATAGAATGGACATTTTAACAACATTAATCCTTCTGATCCGTGAACATGGAATATCTTTCGATTTATTTGTTTATTTCTTGAGTTTTTTCATCAATGTTTTATAGCTTTTGCATACAGATCTTTCTACTCCTTGGGTGAATTTATTCCTGCATGTTTTGTTTTCTGTAGTTATTGCAAATGGGCTTATTTTCTTGTAAACTTTTTTGGATAGTTTGTTGTTAATGTATAGAAACTTTGTTGTTGTTGTTGTTGTTGTTTTGATGATACCCATCCTAAGGGGTATGAAATGGCATCTGGTGTAGTTTTAGTTAGTATTTCCCTAATGATTCGTGATGCTGAATATCTTTTCATGCGTATGTTCTTTGGAGAAATGTCTGTTTCAGTACTTTGCCCATTTTTGAATTGAGTTTATTGTGATTGAGTTTTAGGAGTTGTCTGTATATTCTGGATGTTAATCCCTTACAGGTGGTGTGGTTTGAAAACATTTTCTCCCATTCTGTGGGTTGTCTTTTTACTTTGATAATATCGTCTTAAAAGTTCTTTTTCCTTGCCATGTGAAGTAACTGATGTTGTCTTTTGAGTCACAATATTTCAAAATTTTCATAAAGTCTAACTTGTTTATTTTTTCTGTAGTAGCCTGTGCCGTTGTTGTCACATCTAAAGAATCACTGCCAAATCCGATGTTGTGAAGTTTTCCTTTGTGTTTTCTTCTAAGACTTTAATTAAATTTTATTTGTCAATATTTAGGACTGACAAAAGCTTTTTAACATTCCTGGCACCATCTCAGTTATTGATCTACTCCCAAGATGGATCATTTCAATTAAAACATGTAAAGCATGACCTCACCTGAATGTGTTTGAACTTGCTCTTCTCCCTTTCAAATCGACTCCCTCACTTACATAGTTTGTGTTCAAATGTCAACAAATAAAACATAAAAAGAAATCAATCTTTTCATAGACCCTTTATCTAAAATAGAATAGTAGGTGCCATGACATTTCATCCTTTCATCTTGAATTATTTACTTTTCTACATGAACCAATCCATTCTTCTGTGTGCATGTGTGTGTGTGTGTGTGTGTGTAGTTTATCTGTCTACATATAATGTAAACACCAAAAAATAACAGACATTTAGTAATTTTCAAATGAGACTTCAGGAATTAACAATGGCTTGCCATTTTTAGTGTGTTATTATTATTATATTTAGATGAACAGAATTGCCTCAGGAACATGGCCAGGGGCTCATAGTCCAGGAGAACTGTGGCCTGACTCAGGTACATTTTACCTGCAATAACAGCAATTGCAGGTCACTGGAGTCCATCACAATTGGCTGGAGACAAATGTAAGACAAGAATATTTGCAGTTTCCCCAGACTGACACAGTTGCAGGTTCCCCGAAGTAATGAGTCCTGAGACACCTCCAACAAGAGCTAGAAAAGGTATCACTTCAAGAGGAGTTGCAGCCTACTCATTTTAGACAAATGGAGCAAAATTACAGTATCACATCTTTTCCTTTCTCCTTCATAGAATCTGGATGAACAGAACAGAAAGAGTTAATGGAATATAAGATTCCAATTCTCTGGCATGAGAAAATAGACAAGGAAAGGAAGATTCATCTTCATCACATCTCAGACATGCTTGGACACAGGGTCCAAGCACAAAAGAGAAACACATACTTCTTCCCATCCACACTGGGATCCAGGGTCTTCTCCCTCCTGTCAGGCCAGAACTGAGTCTCCACTCCCCAATTTAGTTCCCAGAGATGAAGCCCAATTTTCCTCTGTCTCAAGCTTTGAAGGCCAGCTTTAGCGTGTTCACCATGGATGAATGAAGGTGAGGTCAGAGGTTTGGGAAATGGTCAAGAATGAGGTGAGAAGAGAGCTGTGGAGGCATGGCCCCGGGGAGCTTGGTACCCCCCCATATCCAGAGCCTGTCTGGTCCAGGAGAGTTCCCAACCCTGTGAGCACCAACTCCGGATATTCTGGGCAGTGACCCGAGGGACAGCCTCTTATGAATACAGGCTGTTTTCCTCCAGTGTCTGCTGTGAAACCAGGATGTACAACATGGCCGTGTTCAACCCAACAATGGACTTAGGATTTTGCTGTACGCCAAAACTCAGTGTCCAACTTCCACTCTGTTTAGCTGGAAAAAGAAGGGGTTTGTTCCCATACATCTCACTCCTGTGTTCCTCTTTCAGTCTCAAAGCTCAGATGAAAACAATGAGTGTCACTTATTGTCAATCCTCTTCCCTGCCTTTTCCACACTCATCAGTATTACCGTTTACATTGAGACTAAAGATGGCCAATCACCACTTTTCTTCGGAAAAATCAACCTGATGTTGTACCTACTTTTTTAGAGGTGGAATCAACCTACCCTAAGATGCCAACTACATTTTACTGAATGGACTTTTGTGGATCCCCTCGATGTATATAGTGGCACCTTGAGGTATCATCCCTGTCTTTAGCAAATGAATATTATCCCAAGGACAATATTTCATCACAATTATTCGGGATGGACGAGTGGATATTGTGGTAGCAAGAACATTACTAAAAGTCACAGCTGATACAACACACTTGAAACCCATCTGGCCAATCTCCCACAGACAGAATGTCGCGCCATTCACTCCAGCCAGCTTCAGTCATGTTTCTTCCATTTCCACCTGTGGCCCCTCATGTCTCCACCAGGTCTTAGCCAGCATTGCCAAAAGAGCCAGGAAGACCAGACCAGCCACAACAATCCTGATGGAACTCTCCACAGTATAGTTCTGGAGAACAGGGGCTGGAGGGTGGGGGTAAGATCAGAGACCTTTCCATGTGGGCCAGGCCCCTCTCTCCCCAGAAGCTCTGAAATGGAGCTATTTCCCCATCTCACCTTCATAAAATTCTTCCTGTCCAGAACCCCTCTTCTCCCTATATCATCATGAGCACCTTCAGAAGTCTTTTGCCACAAAAAGAAATTTCTTTTGAAGATATACATTTTTTTGTACATTTCAAAAATGTTCCCAAACTAATTCTCCAAAGCAATAAATGTTTGTGTGTATTGCTGGGTAGGTTATGCATACAAGGAAAGGAAGCATAGTGAGTCTGATTTGGCAGAGGAAACATATGTGGAAATTATATCATTTACTCTCTTTACAAAATTAAGTACAAAATTGAAAACACTGGTAAGAAAGAATGAGCTATAGAGAAAGAAAACATCTGAGATGCTTGTTTCCAAGATGGCTGACTAAATGCTTTTCTGGCATGTCTCATCCACTTAGAAGAACGAGCAGAATCCAGAACAAAAACCATATGATCATCTCAATAGACATAAAGAAAAGCATCTGAAAAGAAATTCAACATCCTTACCTGATGAAAACCCTCAAAAACTTAGGCATAGAAAGAACATACCTCAAAATAATAAAAGCCATAGATGACATATCTAGAGTCAACATCATACTGAACAGGAAAAGTTAAAAGCACTCCTCTGAGAACTGGCACAAGACAAGGACACGGACATCCACCACTTCCTATCAACATAGTACTGGAAGCCTTGTCAGAGCTATTGGGCAACAGGAAGAAGTAAAAATCCAAATTAGAAAAGAGGAAGTAAAATTATTTTTATTTCTGATGCTATGATCTTAAATCTAGAAAATCCTAAAGACCCTGCCAAAAATTCTTATGATTGATAAATGAACTAAGTAAAGTTTCAGAATACAAAATCAATATGTAAAAGCCGGTAGCATTTCTCTACACCTATAATGATCTAGCTGAGAACCAAATCAAGAAGGCAATGCCGTTTACAATAGATACGCAAAATTAAAACACTCAGGAATACATTTAACCAAGGTGGTGAAAGATCTGTACCAGGAAAGGTGTAAGACACCAATGAAAGCAATTATAGATAATACAAAAAAAAAAAAGAAAAAAAATCCCACGCTCATGGATCATAAGAATTAATATTGTTAAAATGACCATACTGCCTAAAGCAATCTACAGATTCAGTGCAATTCTTATATGAAAATAGTAACACCAGTTTTCACAGAATTAGAAAAAGCAATCCTAAAATTCATACAGAACCAAAAAAGATCCTAATAGAGAAAGCAATTCTAGGTGAATGTAGAAACCTGGAGGCATCACGCTATCTGACTTCAAACTATGCTCTAAGGCTATAGTAACTTAAATAGCACAGTGCTGGTATAGACACAGAAACAGAGATCAATAGACCAGAATAGAGAGCCCAGAAATACAGCCTCATATCTACAGTGAATAATCATTGACGACGTTAACAAAACATACCCTGGAGAAAGATTTCCTTTTCAATAAAAGGTGCTGGGAAAACTAAATAGCCATATGCAGAAGAATAAAACTGGACCTGTATCTGTAATCATACACATAAATTAACTTAAGGTAATTAGCAGCTTAAATGTAAATCCAGAACTATAAAATCACCGGTGGAAACCCAAAGAGAAACTCTTCTGGGCATTGGTCTGGGCAAAGAATTCATCACTAAGACCTCAAAAGCACAGGCAATAAAAATAAAACTAGACCAATGGGACTTAATAAACGAAAGAGCTTCTGCCAAGCAAAGGAAATAGTAGCAGGGTGAACAGACAACCCACAGAATGAATGGAAATGTTTGCAAACTATGCACCCAACAGGGGACTAACATCCAGAATTTCTAGGCAACTCAAACAACTAAACATAACCCCTCAAATAATAGCATTAAAAAGTGGGCAAAGGGATATACATAGACATTTTTCAAAAGAAGACATACGAATGGCCAAACAGCGTATGAACATCACTAATCATCAGAGAAATGCAAATTGAAACCACAATGAGATATCATCTTACAGTAGTCAGAATGGCTATTACTAAAAATGCTGGTGGGGAGTGGTGGCTCACGCTTGTAATCCCAGCACTTTGGGAAGCTGAGGCGGGTGGATCATGAGGTCAGGAGTTTGAGACCAGCCTGACCAACATAGTGAAACCCCATCTCTACTAAATATACAAAAGATTAGCTGGGCATGGTGGTGTGGTTCTGTAATCCCAGCTACTCAGGAGGTTGAGGCAGGAGAATCATTTGAACCTGGTTGGTGGAGGTTGCAGCGCGTGGAGATGGCGGCACTGCACTCCAGCCTGGGTGACAGTGGAAGACTCCATCTCAAAAAGAAAAAAAGAAAAAGTGAAACATATAACAGGTGTTGGCAAGGATGCAGAGAAAAGGAAACTCTTATACACTGTTGGCCGGTATGTAAATTAGTATAGCCTCTATGGAAGACAGTATGGAAATTTGGCAGAGAACCAAAAATAGAAGCACCATTCGATCTAGGGGTCCCGCTGCTGGGTATCTACTCAAAAAATATCTGCACCTGTATGTTTATTGCAGCACTGTTTGCAATAGCAAAGATATGAAATCAATCTAAGTGTCTGTGAATGAATGATTGGATTAAAAAAAGGATGCGTGTATACACAACGAAATACTATTTGGTCATAAAAATAAAACCATGTCTTTTGCAGCAACATAGATGGAGCTGGACGCCATTATTTTACATAAAACCACTCAGAAAGACAAATACCACATCTTCTCACTCTACATGGGAGGGGAGTAATGTGTACATATGGACGTAGAGTGTGGAATGACGGACAGCGGAGGCTAGAAGGCTGGAGGGTGGCGGGACGTGGGTGAGTGATGAGAATTTGCTTAATGAGTACAATGTACGGTATTTGGGTGATGGATATAGTAAAAGTCCTGACTTCACTACTCTGCAACATACTCATGTCACAAAATTACAAGTGTACCTCATAAATTTATACTAATAGAAAAGAAAGTCTGTACACAGTAATCAATTGTGATATGTAGATAAAGTCAATATTAAATTTAAACCAGAATAACTAGTTAAAATGTTGTGTACACAACAGTGAAGAGAGTATTTATCCTCTATGACAGAGGAAACCATCAATATTAATGCACAGAAAAAGCAAATAACTGAAACAAGAAAGAGCAGTTTTGTGACAGGGTAAAAATTGACAACAGTTTTAGAATGCTCCTAACTTGAGTTCCAAAAAGAAAGAACGAGAAAACAGGTCAGAAGCAATCTTTAAAGAGGCAATTGTTGATTATTTGGAGGAAGTAGACACATCCATCAATCCACAGGTTCAAGAAATCCAGTGAATGCCAGGCAGAATGAAGTAAACACACCTCACGTTCAACATTACAGAAAAGCAGCATAAAAGCACAACCAACCCTTAAAATTAGCCAGAGGAAAAGGATCAGCTGGTAAGGATTTATAGGGAGCCAAGCATTGTCTTCCCCACAGAAAAAAGGAAAACATAAGCCAGTAGAATAGCATCTTTACCCAGCTAAGATACCGTCGCCAGCCACCGACAATTCCTTACATAGTACAGTTACTGTCCAAGATCAACGCAGGAAAGAAACAGAACTGAAAGACAAAAGGGCAAAGAAAGCTTTTCTCACTGACCCTAAAGGAAATTCTGATGACCGTGCCTCAAAGATAAAGAAAGTGAAACCAGATGGGGTGTCGAAGATTCTGACAATAACTAAGAGCAGAGGAAGAACTAAAAATATGGCTATGCCAAAAATGAATATGGACCATACGATAGTGTATGAAAACATGCCCCTGTGTAATTTCTGAAAAAGATAGAATTATGTATACCACAAAACAAAACATCATATAAGTAAATACAAACATATGTACTAAATATGCTCTAAAATCCTGTTCTTACACAGGAAGAGTGGAAATATGTTTTTATATTTGCAGTTTAATCTCTGAAATGATTAATTTCAATTTTAAAAATATGTAACAACTTCAGGATGAGTACACCATATATGTATTCCTAAACGACATAGATCAAAAATAGAATGTTTGAAATAGAAAACCACAGAAGTCAGTGGGAAAAAAAGGGAATCAGGAAAACACAACGTAATAATAACAAAAATATGATTGGAAGAACTGCTCAAACATGAACAAAAGATTGTCAGAAAGTCTTACTTTCTAAGGCGAATTGTTTGAAATTTACAAAGGACACATCTCAATGTTAACAATTCATGGAGTTTGAAATTAAACAATGTAGAAATATACCAAGCAATCACTGTTAGAAATGTGGTATAACTATATTAAAATTAGACAAAATTAGTCTTTGGGAAAAATCAGCGGAAAACATTAAGCATAAAATGTAGGAAAAAAGCAGGTAAATTTATAGCATTTTAAATTTACCAGGAATATATAATCAGTTTACACTTAACCACTCCCAGTAATATTCCTGCAAATATACATGGAGGAAGAGTCGCGGAAATAAATGGACAGGTAGGCAAATCCACGGCCACAGTGGGGTGTTTAACACTCCTCTTTTCTCAGTTGTTGATAGAAGTGGTTCAGGCAATTAGAGAGGATTTAGAAAGATAATTGCTGGACCTGACCCAAGGTATAAGTCCACTCCCAACCACAGGACTCACTTTCCTTACAAGCACAAGGGCATTTAGAAATCTCTCTGGATTCTGACCAGCCCTCACCATATGGCAGGTCCATGGACTTCTTGGAACACACCAAGCTCATTCTCACATTAGGGTCATCCCCAATGTCCTAAGTCCATGAAAGTTCCTTTCAACACACTCCCCAGGGCTCACTCCCTCTTGTCTCTAAGATCGGAGTTTAAATGTGATCTCTCTGATGAGGTCTCAGTGAGACGTTCCCTCCTGTACACTCCAAATGACAACGTTCCACGTTCATTCATTTCATTCTGTGCATGGCACTTTCACCAAGTGCTAAGGATTCACTCACTAATTCATACATTCATTCATTCATTCATTCACTCATTCCATCATTCACTCATTCATTCATTCTCTCATTCATTCATTCATGTTCTGCCTCTCTCTCCCACCCCACAGCAATGTGAGCATCATGAACCCAGGAGCTTGGCCGTGCTGTCTACTCCTGGCCATGAAACAGAGAGAACTGATGGTAGGTGTGAAATAAATATTAGATGAATGAGTTAGTGAAGGGGTCATTTACTGGGTGAGCTCAGTTCTCTCTACTCTAATGCCCTCCCTCGGCTGACTTCCCTGAGTTGCCCCCTCGGCTGAGTGAAGTCCCTTCACTGGCAAATGGAACCTCAACCAGTAGCACCTAGGTGGTCTCATACTTTGTTCTTTCCCTCTCCTCTTGCTCCCTAAGGATTATCAATCTCCATGACAGGGCTGGAGAGCAGACAAGCCACACATTCTTTCTGGGGAGAGAGTAACATGGAGTACAAGGCATTCCACATTTAGGAAGAGAACTCAGTTATGGAAGGTCAGAAATGAAAAGTTCCTACAGACCAACACCCAGGTTGGTGGCCACAGCCCTAAATGCTGATGGAGAATCACTGCAAGTCTGTAGGGAAGATGTCTGGCTTGAGGCCACTGAGCGAAGTGGCAGATCCTTCTCAGCCTTCAGTGCTGAGCCTCTGTCCCCTCAGGGATCCACTGACCAATGAGAAGAGCCTCTTCTCATCTCCTGGGATGGAGCTTGGGGCCCCTGGCGAAGGAATGGGCCTGTTTCCACCTGTCATGTTGTCATCTAGCTTGGAAATCCTGCGAGTCCCAGGGAGGCCCTCCCCGAGTCCCCAGAGAAGACTCCCCCACTGAGTCTCCAAGGTGTGGAGAGAGCAAAAAACATCTAGGGTGGAAAATGCCTCCCATCAAGAGACATTGGGGCTCCCCCAACGATGGTTGCATCTGTGCCCCCCATGTGGAAATCACTCTTTGGTGAGAGGTGGGGGCTTCTGGAAATGGGCAATGGCGGGCGGCCAATGCTACCTCTAGTCTTTCCAATCTGAGCCCGGCCTTTCATGCTCCTGAGTCAGCATTGATGCTGTTTACATGTGTCCCAGGTGGGCTTCTGTACAAAGACTGGGAAGTGGTTTATGTGGCCTGTGCTCTATCTGCAAGCTTCAGGTAGGGTTGCAGTTACCACCCCAAACCCTAATGTGATCTGTCTGCCTCGCTCTGTCTGTCTGTCTATGCCTCTTTCTGTATGTTTGCTTTGTGTCTCTTCTGTCCAGCATCTCTGGCTGACACCCCCATGGCCACCCCCTCCATCTGAGGCTCCCCTGAATGTGGCCATTGTAGTCCATCTGAGTCCCACTATTTGGGGAACAGACTGGTTTCCTCACCTGTGACAGAAACAAGCAGTGGGTCACTAAGGTCTGACCACTCGTAGGGAGAGTCACGGAAAGAGCCGAAGCATCTGTAGGTCCCTCCGTGGGTGGCAGGGCCCAGAGGAAAGTTGGCCTGGAAGGTTCCATTGACCTTGGGCACTGCAGGGAACCTAAGTTCATGAGCCTCCCCCTCCCTTGATAGATGGTAGATGTCATAGGAGCTCCGGGAGCTGCAGGACAAGGTCACGCTCTCTCCTGCCTTAACCATGGGGCGCGGCTGGGCTGAGAGAGAAGGTTTCCCACATAGACCTGGAAGGAGAAGAGGCAGTTTCCTCAGGGAGGTTCTTCCTTGTCACAACTCCCCTCCCACCTGAGCTGAGAACTCACTCCCCTGCTCTATGGCCTAATGCTCTCTCTCTCTGTCTCACCCTCCACACCATCTCTCTTTATGTCTATTTCCTCTTTCCACCTTCTCTGTCTCTCTAGGTCTCTGACCTCACTTTCTCACCTCTAGATATGTTTTCCCTTTTTGGATTGTTTTATTCTCTCTGACTCTCCTTGGACTAGTTGACTTGATGTTACTTTTTTTAAATTCTGAGTTTCTCACTTTGTGTCCTGTTCATAACTTTCTGCATATTTCTATCTATTATCTATCGATATATCTATTTATCTATCTGGTGCCTATCTACAAATTCTCTACCTGTCATCTATATCTATATATAATCTATTTATCTATCAATTGTCTATCCAAAAATCATCTATTATCTATATCTATGTATCATCTCTCTCTCTCTATGATTTCTCTTTGTCTGCCTCTCTATCTCTATGTATTATCTATCTATCTTCATCTTCATCATCTCTATGTATCATCGATTAATCAATGAATGAATCGATCATCATCTATGTATCTATAACCTATTATCTATCATCTACCTATTTATCATCTATCTATATCTATCCATCTATCATCTGTCTTGCTCTGCCTCTCGGTCTCTCTAGTTCTCTTTGGAATCTCTGCAATTCATCCCCACATCTCCATCTTTCTATGTCCTTGTGCCTCTCCCTCAGGACTCTAATTTTAGTGCTTTTCTCTGTTCCCTTCCATTGTTCTCTCCACTTCTCTGCCCTCTTTTCTCCCTCTTTATGTGTCTGTGAGTCTCTCAATCTCCTTCCTCTGGCTCATTCTCTGTGTGTTTATGTCTTTGCTTTTTGGTGTCCCTGATTTCTCTCTGTGTCTCTCAGTGATCCTCTCATATGTGGGGTTATTTGGAATGTGAGCCTCAGAATCCAGTCTGGGGACCGCAAGTTCACACAGTATACAGGGGTTGATGTTCTGGGGCCATGATATCCTGGGACGATTACTCTCCATTGCATGGAAGGCAGAGGTGTCAGAATAAACACGGCATCTGTAGGTGCCAGAAGGCCTGAGGCCACAGGGCCCAACTCAGGCCAGAAATATGGGTGTCCTTGGGTTCTTCTGGTAGAGAACACTTTGTGGAAGTAAAACAGAAATGAAACTTCTAACCTGTGCCAGGTCTCTGAGCAAAGTCAGCATGGAAGGACACCTCTCTCTGGCACATGTCTGTCTGTGTCTCCTTTAACTCTTTCTGTCTTTTCTAACTCCCTGTATGGCCCCTGTGTCTGTCCTCTGTTATGACACCTGGTCTGTACTTGTGTCTCCTGTTTCTCTGTCTCTGTTGGTACAGACCTCACCAAATTAGTCTCTCTCCATAAGAATACCAAGCTCATCTTCCTTATAACCACCTGGGCCTCCAAGTCGTGGATCATTCACTCTGTGTCCCAGTGACAATGAGAATAATGTCCAGACACTCTCACCTGTAATCACGATGTCCAGAGGGTCACTGGGAGCTGACAACTGATAGGGGGAATGAGGAACAGAACCGTAGCATCTGTAGGTCCCTGCAAGGTCTTGCGTCATGCGACCGATGGAGAAGTTGGCCTTGGAGACCCCATCATGGAGCTCTCCAGTGAGGCGCAAAGTGTCATTAAACTTCCCCTCTCTGTGCAGAAGGAAGTGCTCAAACATGACATCTGACCAACATTGCAGGATGACTGTCTCTTCTGATTTCACCAGGGGACCTGGGTGGGCCAGGAGGGAAGGTTTTCTGTGGACTCCTAGGAAGAGAGGTTGTGACTTTAGAAGGCATCTCTCTTTATCATCCCATCCATGGCACCTAGAATGAGTGAGGCTTCCCCTCGCTGGTGTCTTATCTCTCTCCTTCCTCTCTGTGTCTTCATGTTCTTTTCTGTGCCCATAACTCCTGGTACAGGTCCTTCCATCTGTCTCCCTCCCTCTTCTCTGTCCCTCTGTCTCTAGTAGCTCCTGATTCCCTTGCCGCTGGGCTCAGCCTCATCTCTTGGGCTGTTGTATCTATTTCGAACTAATGTCTTTCCTGCTTCTATGTGGGGGTGGAAGAGGAACCAGGATAGGCTGCACGTCCAGGCTCTTAGCAGACTGGTTCAATCTCTTTTGGACGAATTGGAATCCTTGGCAGAAGGTATGAACTGATCAGTAAGGCAGGCACCAGTGTCCACACACCCTGTTCCTGGTGGGGACTGGGAGCCACTCTTGCCATGCCTGTGCCTTCTCCATGGTGCCAGCTTCCATAGGCTGGCTTCTGGTGCTGGTTTGAGGAGTATCAACCCCTCCCTATGTGGATGGAGCCTGGTGGTGGCATCATCATCCCACCCTTGCTGATCTCGGTGTAGCCAACCTTCTCTTTGTTTGGTTTCTTTAATTAATTAATTAATTTTGGAGTCAGAGTCTCACTCCTTCACCCAGGCTGGAGTGAAGTGGTGTGGTCTAGGCTCACTGCAACCTCTGTCTCCTGGGTTCAAGTGATTCTCCTGCCCTCAGCCTCCTGAGTTGCTAGGATTACATGCACCTGCCACCACGCCCGGCTATCCTTGTGTCCTTTCTTATCTTGTCCTTGACCTGGGTTCCAGTGTTGGTTTCCTGTTGGTGCTGTAGAAAATTATCAGAAGCATGGCAGCAGGAGAGAGCACACTGACCCCTTCCGTTTCTGGAGACAGAAATCGGACCCTGTTTTTTGAGGGCTAAAATCAAGGCATCTGCAGGGCTGCGTTCCCTCTGGAGACCCAGGAGAATCAGTTCCTTGACTTTTCCAGCCTCTATAGGCCACCTGCATTCATGGCTCATGGCCTTCCTCCACCTTCAAAGCTGATGGAGACTTCCATTGCACTGCTCTAATCGCCACTCCCCTCTTCCTTCTCCTCTCATGTGCACCCTTGTGATTACACTGAGCCCAGCAGGACAGTCCAGGCTGTCTCCCCATCTCAAGGTCAACTCAACAACCTGAGCTCCATCTTCCCCTTCAGTGCCTTCCCCTATAACATAAATAGTCACAGACTGCAGGGATTAGAATGCAGTCATCATTGGGGACAATTATTCTTTCCACCACAGCACCCATTTCCCTGTATTCAATCCCCTTTTACCCCAAATACAGTTAGGGTCTGGATGATGGGACGCTGGTGGACACTCCCACCAGAAGCTCTGGGACTCAGGAGGTGGGACAAGGAGAATCCCAGACAGGAGCCCTCTGACCTGTGACCATGATCACCAGGGGGTTGCTGGGTGCTGACCACCCAGTGAGGAAGTGTGGGTGTGAACCCCGACATCTGTAGGTCCCTGCATGTGCTGGGGTCACAGGGCCTATGAAAACGGTGTTTCGGAATACTCTGTTGTAGAGCTCAGGGACAGGCATCCCGTCTTCTTTGGACAGACTGAATTCGTTAAACCCAAGACGAGAGCGACACTGAAGAGCCACATGTTCTCCTTCAGACACCACAGGGCTGGGCCAGGCAGAGAGGAAGGGCTTGTCCTGACCACCTGGGGGAGAAGGAGGCGCCACCTTAGAGAGGAGGATGTGGAGCCGCCCCTCCCTCCACGTGTCAGAAGATTCTCCCATTTCCACTTTCTAAGGCTCCTACCACACCTGGGTGCCCAGGGCTACAGGAAGGACCCACCCCGCATAGACTTGGCGTCTCTCTACAACAAAAGTGTCAGCTGAGAACTTTGAGCAAGTGCTGAGTAAGGGACTCCTACTAGATTTTAATCCTGCAAGATTACTCACATAAAACAACACAAATAGACATGGAGTCGAGGGCATGTTCTTTGTGAATGGAATATCAGCCAATGTGTGAACCACAATACACAACTGAGCCCCCAACAGAGGATTTGGAAGGTCAGGGCCCTGGCTGGGGTTCCCCCACCTCTGAGGTAGAATGACAGCAGCCACACTGCAGCCCCTACCGTCATGGAAACGCTGGAGGGTGTGAGTTACACCTTTGTCCTCAGAGGCCTGCTGTTCCTAGCACTGCTTTGCTCCCTTCCTCTGCCAGTGACACCACATCCCAGCCGCACAGCCCAGCTTGGAGGACCCCAGTCTACCCTCCCGGGTTCCCACAGAACCTGACTCAGCCAAGGGAAAGGAAGGCTGGGGAGGGCAAGGTCGGAACTGTGGGCTGAGCACCCCAGGGTCTCCTCATCCTTGTTTATAAGAAAATCCCCCACCGGGCTTCCCTCCTGTTTCAGGAAAATCCTCTTATGTGGGGAGATGACACCCGAAGGTTTGGAGAAGGACTCACCCTCATGTGGCCAGGCCCCCTGCAGCAAGAAGAACCCTGGAAAGAAAGATCATGATGGACCATCCATCTGCAGGCAAACCAGGACTCCCTTGCTGCCCCCACTGGGCTGTGAGTCTTGGTAGCCAGGCCCTTGCTGGGCTGAAGGGAAACTCACCCTCAGTGCCAGCCTGCACCCAAGAACAGGGCTGTCGGCTGTGTAGAGACCCAGCCTGCAGGCCCATATCCGCACCCCAGGCCCCTATCCCCACCCCAAGCCCATATCTCCACTCCAGGCCCATATCTCCACTCCAGGCCAATATTTCCACCCTAGACCCATATCTCCAATCCAGGCCCATATCTCCACCCCAAGCCCATATCTCCACACCCAGGCCCATATCTCCATCCTAGGCCCATATGTCCACTCCAGGCCCAGATATCCACCTCTAGGCCCATGTCTCCACCTCCAGGCCCATATCTCCACCTCCAGGCCCATGTCTCCACTCCAGGCCCATATCTCCATCCCAGGCCAATATCTTCACTCCAGGCTCATATCTCCCCTCCAGGTTCCTATCTCCACTCCAGGCCCAGATCTCCACTCCAGGCCCATATCTCCACCTCCAGGCCCATATCTCCACTCCAGACCCAGATCTCCACTTCTAGGCCCATCACTCCATCTCCAGGCCCATATATCCACTCCAGGCCCAGATCTCCACTCCAGGCCCATAACTCCACCTCCAGGCCTATATCTCCACCTCTGGGCCCAGATCTCCATCCCCGCGCTCCCTCCCTCTATTCCTTTCCAGGACTCACCAACACACGCCATGCTGACGACCATGAGCGACATGGTGCTGCCGGTGCAGACAGGCAGCCGCGCCCCAGCTCAGCTCAGCAGCGCACAGGATGTTATTTGGCGCCCTGCCCATGCAGCTTACATGTTGACTACATCATGGGAGGGTGACGTACGCAGGCTCTTTCTACCTTGCATGAGGCCCAGTGGATGCTTGCTCAAGAGCGGAACACGGCTTCCTGGAAATTGTTCTCACTAGAATTGGCACCTCACGTCCTTCACTATGACCAACTCACAACACGTCTCAGATCCAACCTCCCGAACACAAGATGCCTAAAATCTGTGCTAACGTGAAAGACTTTTCATGTATTTTTATCCGAACACGAGATGCCTAAAATCTGTGCTAACATGAAAGACTTTTCATGTATTTTTTTTGTTTTTATCTGAGATTCAAACTCTTCTTCCTGTGTAATATGCAAAGTATCTAATAGGTATTATTAATGTTTTCGGAGTCATTGTGACTAATAAACCATTAGAATTTTTCATGCTTGTATTTCTAGTATTACAGCAGAACCAGCTAAAATGATTTAAATTCCCAGGGAAGGATTATGCAATTATTTACAATCTTAGAATTGTACTTTATCAGCAAAAACCACACCTGTAAATTCTGGAGTTTTGTAGTTTAATCTAAAATTTGTCTCATGACCCAAGATTCCAGAGTCCCAACTCTGGAGTTTGCTCTCTGTCTGTCTCTCTCCCTCCCTCGTTTTAAATTTTACAGAAATATCCAGTAACATAATGCTATAGAAAATCAAGTTTTCCCCAGCACGTTGGGAAGCCGAGGTGGGCGGATCAACTGAGATAAGGAGTTTGAGAGCAGCTTGGCCAATATAGTGAAACCGTGTCTCTGTTAAAAATCCAAAAATTAGCCGTGCCTGGTGGCAGGCACCTGTAACGCCAGCTGCTCAAGAGGCTGAGGCACGAGAATCGCTTGAACCTGGGAGGCGGAGGTTGCAGTGAGCTGAGATTGTGTCACTGCAGTCCAGCCTGGGCGACAGAGCAAGACTCCGCCTCAAGAAAAAAAAAGCAAACAGCCTATAATAACAAATTAGAGGGCTCTGGCTACTAAATTTAAAGGGTTCTATAAGGCTACATAAAGTGCAGCATCATCAAGAGTGTGGACACAGAGAGCCCCTTAGCAGAAACAGTGTCTAAAATACATCCATGTACACACAGTCCCTTTAGAGTTGACAAAGGCTGCCGTGTGGTTTAAGGTGGCATAGAATGTCTTCTCAATAAATAATATTAAACCAATTGGTTACACCTAGGAAAAAATAAATCTAACTCACACTATAAAAACACTTCTTAGTTTTTATCTAGTTGTACATTTTTTATGATTTATATTTAAATTTGAGAAATAAAAGTCATATACGGTCATCCTTCACTATTCGTGGGTGATTGGTTTTGAGATCTCCACTCAGATACCAAAATCTGTAGATGCTCAAGCCTCTTATATGAAATGGCACAGAGTTTGCAAATAACCTATGCACATCCTCCTGTATACATGAAATCATCTCTAGATTACTTATAATTCCTGATACAGCCTACACACAGCTTCATTTGTGTCCATTCAACATAGTTATGCTTTTTGAAACTCTGTGGATACTTTCTCTCAATATTTTTGATTTATACTTGGTTCAATAAACACCTGTAAACCCCGCAGATATGGAGGAGTGACCGTATATTTATATTATGAAAGATGATGTGTTGATATGTGTCCCCATGGAGATGAGACTAACAAGGCCTATGATTCTACAAATGTTTCATTGTGGAATGACTCTGCCAGCTTTCCAGGTCTGCAGAGAGTAAGAGTATCACTTGTTCATATGATTCGTGATCCTTGGAACCTCCTATGTGCTACATCTTTGGATGGAAATTGGAGTCTCAGAGACAAATGAGGCTCCACCCTGCTTCCAGAAACTCAGAGTCCGGGGATGAGAACTCAGTGGGGAACAGATGGGATTATATGGACATGGTACTGATAACACCGGAAGCCTTAGGCAAGAAAAGAGTCCCATTACCGAAACCATGGGGGCAGACATGTTTATTTGAAGGATGGAAAACTACATTGAAGTTATTTTAAAAAATATATAAGTTTTACTGCTGACAGAAGACTGAAAGCTAGTCTGAGGGGAGGTGGAACAGCATGAGGGAAGGTGGAACAACACGTGTCTAAGTGCTGCGTTAAGAGGGAGCCTCTTGTATGTTTGGAATTGTGAGTTCCTCAGTGTGATTGCAGCCTCAAGTAGACTAGGAAGTAAGCCAGTTAGGTTGGAGAGGTGGGCAGGGGTCAAGTGAAATGGAGAACTGTGGGCTAAGCAAAGGAGTGTGTTTTTTCTCCAGCAGGCAGTGGGGACCTTAGACATTTGTAAGCAAGTGAGAGGCACATTCAGATTTGTGGTGTGAGGAAGAGCGATGCCCTAAGATGCAGACTCATGCCTTCAGATTCCAGCTGCTGGTACATGGGAGCTGGCAACCCGGTTTTGAGACAGGGCTGTTGTCTCCCTAGAAGACGCCCTCAAGGCCTGACTGTGGTGCTCATGGGCAGGAGACAACTTTGGATCTGGACTCAGCATTTGGAAGTTCCGTGTACACGATGATATCTGTTGGGGGTGTCTTGGGCCTCTGAGAAGGGCGAGTGATTTTTCTCTGTGTGAAAACGCAGTGATTCAACTGTGTGTATGTCACCTCCTGAGGGTCTTGTTCATCAGAGTCCTGGAGAGAGGGAAATGCTGAGTGAGGGAGGGTGCTCACATTTTCCAGGACTCTTTGGGAATAACAGTAGCCACGAGCCCGGGCCGAGGAGTACCTACCTCGCTATTCGCTGTTCTGTTCCCTGCAGACTCTTGGTCCATTACCGCAGCATCTGTAGGAGACGGAAGTCAACAAAACAGCTCGGAGGGCACTTCTGGGTCCTCATTTCATAAGCAGATACCAACATACAGGGGGAGACCATAGGTGGCTGAGGTCCCTCAGTTGCCAACAGCAGACTCAGACATTCTATCTCTCTGAGCTCAAGGACCCATCCCATGAATAGCTCTGAGTTCCCATCCCATTGATTCTGTCTCCCACTTTCTGCCTGTCATGGAACCTTCTCCTGGATGTGAGTGGCTGCAGGGGACATGAGGATACAGTTCAGAATCAGGCAACGGTCTGTGAGTTGAAGGCAGGGGCAGGGAGTCTGGTGCCCTCTCTAGAAAGTCCTGCCTCTGTGGCTGCTGCCTTGGGCCAGGGACCATCCTGTTTGTGAGGAACACACACCTGAGTGCTCCCATCCTGCTTCCCCACATGGCCCTGAGCTCTCTGGCCTCTGCTTCGTGAGACTTACTTTTTTTGTTGGAGCACCAGCGATGAAGGAGAAAGAAGAGGAGGATGAAGAGGATGATGACCACTGAGGTCCCAATCAGAATGTGCAGGTGTCGGGGGTTACCTGGAAGAAGATGAGACACCAATAAGAAGCTAATCTTAGCAGTTCCTCTTTATGAATTGTCTCGCATTTCTTGATTGACAGGTAACCACATAAAACATCTCTTTAGGACAAGCACCCAGATGGCAGGAGACCCAGCTTTCTCCTGCTTTTTCAGTTATAGCTCTCATAGTAACCATAGAACGTGCTGAGGATACGACTACTTTAGTTGAGATGTTTGACCCCTTCAAACCTCACATTGAAATTTCACCCCCACTGTGGGAGGTTGGGCCTCTTGAGAGGTGTTTGGGTCATGGAGGTGGATCCATCATGAACACATCAATGCTGTCCCAAGGAGACGGGGTTAGCAAGTTCCCCCTCTATTAGTTCCCGGAGAGCTGGTTGTTAAAAAGAGCTTGGAAGCTCCATCACTCCCCCTCCCCCTTGCTCCCTCTCTTGCCGTGTGATCTCTGTGGTCTCTGCACAGACAGACCCTCCTTCCCTTCTGCCAGAGTGGGAGCAGCCTGAGGCCGTCACGAGAAATAGATGCTGGTGCCATGCTTCCAGTACAGCCTGCAGAACGGTGAGGCAAACCAATCTCTTTTCTTTAGAAGTTACCGAGGCTCAAGTGTTCCTTTAGAGCAACAAAAATGGCCTAAGACAGCAACTTCCTGAGATCAGGAGGAACGTCTCAGAACACCCTGGGCTGTCTTCCTGTTCTTCCTGGAGGACGTCATGCAGTGCTTTAGCTGAGTGCTTCCTGTGGCTCCAGGGTACAAAACCCAGGCTGGGCTGCTTTCTGGCTTCCCGCAGCTACACTGCAAATGGGGTGACTCCATATGTCCCGAGGAGCTTTTCTGAGCCTTGAGGGACTGGCTCACATTGAAATATAGGTTTCTGTTGTCACTCGCTGCTTATCTGTTAGTAATGAACCTGCCTATGTAACGTATTCTCTGTGTGTTCTGTCTCCCTGGAGTGACGGTGAGTGATAGGAATTGGCATAGGCCCAGGTGCAGTCCAGGAGGTGTTTAGAGTCTTCTCTGGGAAGACTGGACTGGGATTGATTCACAGCGAATGTGCTTTAGGGTTTCTACATCCACAGCATTCTTGAATCAAACAACTTGCATTCTCCAAGGAAAGAAAACAAAAGTGAAATCAAGATAAAAAAAGCGAAATAGAATTCTCTTATGTCAAACGGCCAGGAAATAGTGTTGAAGCCCGTGTGAAACCTGCTGCTCTTTGTGATCTCGGGAGACACATATTAGGCTGCTGTTCTACCCGAGAGGCTGGGGGAAGGACCACCCCCTCGGCCATCTATTGCTTCAATACCACCTGTCCTCCTGTGAATTAGTAGGAAAGGGGAGCAGGAGCTAGTGCTGTCGCTGATCTCTGATTCCAAGATCTGGACTCACTCCAAGGAGTGTTAATGTTTACCTCCCCATGGTCTACCTGAATCTCCACAGGTGATTGGAAGTAGGGGTGAGGTGGGGGATTTGGGTGAGTGGGCAAGTTTTTTTTGTGATGACCAGAGCACTTTCTCTATTCCAGGATCTGTGCTGGAGGATTCAGCGGACTTTCACATTTTCTATATGATCTCATGCTCACAGAAAGCCAAATAGGGAAGAGGTTTTAGGCTCATTGCCTAATGGATAAGATAAAGGATCAAAGAAGTAATTATAGAGAAATAGAAAAATCATGATTGGAATTCAGGTCCCTTTGTCATTTGCGTGTGTTATATTATATTTATATTTATGCATTTCTTATTTTTATTTTTTGAGACGGAGTCTCCTTGTGCCACCCAGGCTGGAGTGCAGTGATGCAACCTCCACTCACTGCAACCTCCACCTCCTGGGTTGAAGTCATTCTCCTGCTTCATCCTCCAGAGTAGGAGCTGGGATTACAGGGATGCACCACCATGCTCGGCTAATTTTTGTGTTTTTCCTAGAGACAGGGTTTCACCATGTTGGCCAGGCTGGTCTCGAACTGCTGACTTCATGTGATCCACCCGCCTTGGCCTCCTGCAGTGCTGGGTTACAGGCGTGAGCCACCGTTCACAGACTTGTATATTATGCTATAATAGGTCTCTTCATTTCCACCACCCCTCATATATCTGTCACTCCTTTGCCAGGTATTGATTTATGTGTAGGATGAATAAATCTCAGAAAGAAATTAATTAAGCGAGGATTAAACAAGTAGGAAAATCAAACCCAGCAAGCCTTTCCAGTCAATGATTCTACCTCACAAACCTATCTTATATCCATCTACTTCATTCATTTAGTGTCTAAATCAGCACCACATTTCACCAGTGGGGCGGCAATTGCCTTTTCCACGGTCTCCTAGATTCCAGTTATGCAACTGAGCCTCCCTTATTTTCATGTCAGTCATATTAATCATGTAGGGATTCCTGGCTACCCCGAGGTGAATCCAATGGCTGTGAGTGTCAAACACACACTCCTTGTTCCTCCTTAGTTTCCTGTGTACCCAGTGTGCTCTCCGTCTCTCCACAGTCATCTTGTCATTCTCCCCACATCATTCCCAGCATTTGAGGAAGAGCCTCTTCCTTCCACATCAGATTGTTTTCACCTTTGTGCCTTCACGGCTGACAGCTGTGTGTGCAAAATCCTTCCGCCAATCTTTCAGGGGTTCAATCCGTGTTTTTCATTAATGTCACAAATATCTGAATAGTGAGACCTTCTTTGTCACCTGAAATCATACACTCAGCATTATCTATTATTGATTTTGAATTCTGGCTGGGCACAGTGGCTCACGCCTGTAGTCCCATTACTTTGGCATGCTGAGACGGTCGGATCACTTGAGGTTGGGAGTTTCAGACAAGCTTGGCCAACGTGGTGAAACATCCTCTCTACAAAAAATATACAAAAAGAATTAGCCGGGCACGGTGGCAGTTGCCTGTAATCCCAGCTACTCGAGAGGCGGAGGCAGGAGAATCACTTGAATCCAGGAGAAGCAGGTTGCAGTGAGCCAAGATCGTGACACTGCACTGTAGCCTGGAAGACAGAGGGCAACTCTGTCTCAATAAACAAAAGAACAAACAAAAAATAGATTTCATGCACAGATGCTTCCCAATGGATCATTCATTTATAGATCCACTTGTGCATTCATTTTCTGCCCTCCCATTTAACCATCTGCAATATCAGTGTCCCAAGGGCAGAGGCCAAATGCATCTTGTTCACTGTTTGTGGAAGGCAGGAGAATGCTGTCCCACCCCAAAATGTCCCTGTCCTAGCCTCCATACCTTGTGAATATGTTATTTTACATGGAAAGGAGGAATGAAGATTGTAGATGGAATTACGGTTGCTAATCAGCTGAACTTAAAACAAGGGTATCCTGGATGATTTCCAGGAGATTATGAGGGATTTTCATCTTGGTGAACCCAATAGAATCCCCAAGTTTTCAAAAGATAAGGAAGAAGGGAGAGCAGCATTCAGAGAAAGAGGTGTGGTAAGGAAGAAGGCACTGAGTGATGCCATGTGAGATGTGACCAGTCTTTGTGGGTTTTGAGGAAGGAGGAAGGGGACCAGGAGCCAAGGAACTGGGAGCCTTTAGAAGCTGGGACAAGTGAGAAGCAGATTCTTGCCTGGAATCCTCAGAGGGAAGGCAGCCTTGCTGTCACCTTGATTTTAGCCCAGTAAGATGCACTTCCTACTTTGAGCTACAGCACTGTAAGATAATTAAAAAACCGTTTTGTTTTCACCCACGAATCTTGTGGAAATTTGTTATGGCAACAATAGGAAAAGGTTCCGCACTGCACAGCCTGAGCATGGGGCCGTGGCTGAATGAGTCAGTGAGTCGAAGTGTGCGTGCATGAGCTCCGTTCTCTGTTACGGCAAGGCTGTTGCTCTGCTGAGTCAGCCAGGGTTGCTTCATGACCAACAGTAATTCATTCCTTGGCAAGTGGAACTTCTCTAAAACACCTCGCCCTCATCAGATGTTCCCTTCCCTTCCCTCTCTCAAGCCCCCAGGAATTTATCCTCCAGTTAGGAATGCAGGCAGAACAAACATTGCATTTTTCCTGAGAAGGATGTCAGATTGGCAATCATTCTTCTAGCTTGTAGGAGGTCTCAGCTCCATAAAATGAGAGATTAAGAGATTTCACTGAGCCCTAGGTTGGGCCCAGATCCCTTTCGCTGTTGGAGTATCTGGAGTTCGGAGATGGTAGAAGACAGGCGTACAATGTCAGAGCTGCGAGATGCTGAGTCAATGCCTGCATCGAAGGTTTCTACCTCCCCAGGTTTCCAAAAGCGGATATAAGAGGGTTCTGTACTCACCGGTTTTAGAGCTTGGTTCAGTGGGTGAAGGCCAACTATTTGAAGGGTTTCCTAGAACATGAGACAGGAGAGAGGTGAGGAAATGAGGGTGTCTGTCCTCTACTCAATGGAAATCTTTGAGGTTGGTTCATGGCCAACACTCTGTTATCTAATATTGGGCCCTGGGAGTCCTGGGATCCTTTTTTCCATAATTTTTGTATGTGACGCCCATTGTCTTGAGACTTCAAGGTATAAAGAGAAAACAGGAGCATCACACTACCTGATCTCAAAATATGTTACAGAGCTGTAGTAAGCAAGACAGCATGATGTTGGCATGAAGAAAGGCACATAGAACAATGGAGCAGAATGAACAACACAAATATAATCCATGCATTTACATCCAATGTTTTTTTCTTTTTTCTTTTGAGATGGAGTCTCGCTCTGTCACCCAGGCTGGAGTGCAGAGGTGCAATCTCGGTTCACTGCCACCACAGCCTCCTGGGTTCAATCAATTCTCTGGCCTCAAACTCCTGAGTAGTGGTATTATAGGTGCTGACCACCATGCTCAGCTAATTTATATATTTTTAGTGGAGACAATGTTTCATCACGTCGGCCAGACTAATCTTGAACTCCTGGCCTCAGGTGATCCACCCGCCTTGGGCTCCCAAAGTGCTGAAATTGCAGGTGTCAGTCACCATGCCCAGCCCATCCAATGGACTTTGACAAAGGTGCCAAGAACTCACAATCAGGAAAGGACAGTCTTTTCAATAAACAGTGCAGGGAAACCTGGACATCTACATGCAGAGGAATGAAACTGCACCTCTACCTGTCACCATACACAAAAATCAAATGAAAATGGATTAAAGATGTGAGTCTAAGGCCTGAACCTATGAAACACGTAGAAGAAAATATTGGGGAAATGCTCCAGGACATTTGTCTGAAGGAAGACATTTTGTTTTAAACCTTCAAAACACAAGTAATCGAAGCAAAAATAGACCATTGGGATTACCTCAAGCTAAGCAACTTCTGCACCGCTAAAAATAAACCAACAAAGTGAAGAGACAACCCACAGATTGGGAGCAAATATGTGCAAACTATGCATCTGAGATGGGATTAATAACTAGAAATATAAGAAGCTCAAACAACTCAATAAAACAAATGATTTAATTGAAACAGGAGCAAAAGACATGAAATTTCCCCACATACGAAAAACTGCTCAGTATCACTCATCATCAGAGAAACGCAAATTAAAATCAAAGTGAGTTTTCATCTCACCCCATTAAAATGGCTTTTAGGCCGGGCGTGGTGGCTCACGTCTGTCATCCTAGATCTTTGAGAGCCTGAGGTGGGTGAATCTCATAAGGTCGGGAGTTTGAGACCAGTCTGACCCACATGGAGAAACACTGTCTCTACTAAAAATACAAAAATTAGTCGGGCGTGGTGGCGTGTGCCTGTAATTCCAGCTACTCGGGAGGCTGAGGCAGGAGAATCGCTTGAACCTGGGAGGTGAAGGTTGTGGTGAGCCGAGATCGCACCACTGCACTCCAGCCTGGGTGACAAGAGCGAAACTCCATCTCAAAATAAAATGAAATAAAGTAAAATGGCTTTTAGCTGCAAGACAGGCAAAGGAAATCCTGCCAAAGTGGTAGAGAAAGGAGAACCCTAATACCCTGTTGGTAGGAGTGTAAATTAGTACAGCCTTTACGGAGAAAAGTGTGGAAGTCCTTTAAAGAACTAAAAAGAGGTTGGGTGAGGTGGATCATGCCTGTAATCCCGGCACTTTGGGAGACCGAGGCGGACACCTCAGTTGAGGTCATGAGTTTGAGAGCAGCCCAGCCAACATGGGGAAACCCCATCTATACTAAAAAAACCAAAAAGTAGCCAGGCATGGTGGCGTGCACCTGTAATCCCAGCTACTAGGGAGGCTGAGGTAGGAAAATCATTTGAACCCAGGAGGCAGAGGTTGCAATGAGCCAAGATGACATCACTTGTACTCCAGCCTGGGCACAGAGGGAAACTGTCTCAAAAACAAAAACAAAACAACAAACGAATAACTAAAAAGAGAACTTTCATAGTATCCAGCAATTTCACTACTGGGTTTATATCCAAAGGAAAGTAAATCAATATATCGAAGTGATATCTGCACTCGTATGATTGGTGCAGCACTGTTCACAGTAGCCAAGATGTGGAGTCAACCTACCTGCCCATCAGTGGATGAATGGATAGAGAGAATGTAGTACATACGCACAGTGGAGACTACTCATCCATAGAAAGAATAACATCCTGATATTTGCAGCCACATGGATGGAACTGGAAGTCATTACAAAGATTCCCATTTCTCACCCATATACAGAGCTAAAAGGTGGATCTCATGAAGGTAGAGAGTAGAATGGTGGCTTCCAGAGGCCAGGAAGAAAAGGGTGGAGGGTAAAAAAAAAAAAAAATATATATATATATATATATATATATATATATATATATACACATATATATATGTATATATATGTGTGTGTATATATATATACATACATATATATATATATATATATTTATAAATGTATTTATGACCACTAGACTTTACACTTAAAAATGGTAAATGTGGCTGGGAGTGGTGGCTCATGCCTGTAATCCCAGCACTTTGGGAGGCAGATGCGGGTGGATCACGTGGTCAGGAGTTGGAGACCAGCTCGACCAACATGGTGAAACCACCTCTCTACTAAAAATACAAAAAGTAGCCTGGCGTGGTGGTGCGCGCCTGTAGCACCAGCTACTCAGGTGGCTGAGGCAGGAGAATCACTTGAACCCAGGAGGCGGAAGTTGCAGTGAGCTGAGATTGTGCCACTGCACTGCAGCATAGGGGACAGAGCTAGACTCTGCCTCAAAAAAAAAAAAAATGTTAAAGGTGGTAAGCTATATAGGTATATTTATCCTCAATAAATATTTCTTCAAACAAAAGTAAAGGGTGTAGGGGTTGCTGGTGATGACATCCCTGTGTGGGTGAGAGGCCAGGATGGGCTTCTGGGAAATGGGTAATGTTGAGGGGCTGAGGGAACCTCTGATCTTCCCAAACTGAGCCCAGTCTCCCTCCTCTGGGTCTCTCCTGACCGCTTTCTCCATCTGCCTGTGTGCCTGGAGCCCTGGCCGCGGGCCTTCATGCAGGCCGTGTAGGAGGGTTTGGAGGTGCCCTGTCTGCCATCCTGTGCCCTGATCCCTCCCTCACACCCAAGCTTCGTCTTCTCTCTGCATCTGTCCATGCTTATCTCCATCATCAGCAGGAAGCTCCTCAGCTAAGGCTCTAGGATCATAGGACATGAGACAGATATGGGGTTTCCTCACCTGTGACAGAAACAAGCAGTGGGTCACTCGAGTTTGACCACTCGTATGGAGAGTCACGGAAAGAGCCGAAGCATCTGTAGGTTCCTCCGTGGGTGGCAGGGCCCAGAGGAAAGTCGGCCTGGAATGTTCCGTTGACCTTGGGCCCTGCAGAGAACCTACATTCATGGGCCTCCCCCTCCCTGGATAGATGGTACATGTCATAGGAGCTCCGGGAGCTGCAGGACAAGGTCACGCTCTCTCCTGCCAGAACCGTGGGGCCCGGCTGGGCTGAGAGAGAAGGTTTCTCATATAGACCTGGAAGGAGAAGAGGCATTTTCCTCAGGGAGGATCTTCCTTGTCACAGCTCCCTTCACCTGAGCTGAGAACTCACTCCCCTGCTCTATGACCTAATGCTCTCTCTCTCTCTCTCTCACCCTCCACCCCATCTCTCTTCATGTCTATTTCCTTCTTCCACCTTCTCTGTCTCTCTAGGTCTCTGACCTCGCTTCCCCACCTCTAGATATGTTTTCCGTTTTTGGATTGTTTTATTCTCTCTGACTCTCCTTGGATTGGTTGACTTGATGTTACTTTTTTAAATTCTAAGTTTCTCACGTTGTGTCCTGTTCATAACTTTCTGCATATTTCTATCTATTATCTGTCGATCTATCTATTTATCTATTCGGTGCCTATCTACAAATTCTCTACCTGTCATCTATATCTATATATCATCTATGTATCTATCAGTTGTCTATCTATCCATCAATCATCTGTTATTTATATGTATGTATCATCTCTCTCTCTATGATTTCTGTCTGCCTCTCTATCTGTACGTATTATCTGTCTTCATCATCATCATCTCTATGTATTATCTATTAATGAATCAATCAATCATCATCTATGTATCTTTAACCTATTATCTATCATCTACCTATTTATCATCTATCTATATCTATCCATCTATCATCTGTATTGCTCTGCCTCTCGGTCTCTCTAGCTCTCTTTGGAATCTCTGCAATTCATCCCCACATCTCCATGTTTCTATGTCCTTGTGCCTCTCTCTCAGGACTCTAATTTTAGTGCTTTTCTCTGCTCCCTGCCATCATTCTCACCACTCCTCTGCCCTCTTTTCTCTCTCTTTATGTGTCTGTGAGTCTCTCAATCTCCTTCCTCTGGCTCATTCTCCGTGTGTTTATGTCTTTGCTTTTTGGTGTTCCTGATTTTTCTCTGTGCCTCTCAGTGATCCTTTCATATGTGGGGTTATTTGGAATGTGAGCCTCAGAATCCAGTCTGGAGACCACAAGTTCACACAGCATACAGGGGTTGGTGTTCTGGGGCCATGATATCCTGGGACGGTTACTCTCCATTACATGGAAGGCAGAGGTGTCAGAATAAACATGGCCTGTAGGTGCCACAAGGCCTGAGGCCACAGGGCCCAACTCAGGTCAGAAATATGGGTGTCCTTGGGTTCTCCTGGTAGAGAACACTTTGTGGAGGTAAAACAGAAATGAAACTTCTAACCTGTGCCAGGTCTGTGAGCAAAGTCAGCATGGAGGGACACCTCTCTCTGGGACATGTCTGTCTGTCTGTCTCTTTTAACTCTTTCTGTCTTTTCTAACTCCCTGTATGGCCCCTGTGTCTGTCCTCCGTTATGACACCTGGTCTGTACTTGTGTCTCCTGTTTCTCTGTCTCTGTTGGTACAAACCTCAGCAAGTCAGTCTCTCTCCATAAGAATACCAAGCTCATCTTCCTTACAACTACCTGGGGGTTCCAAGTCGTGGATCATTCACTCTGCAGCCCAATGACAATGAGAATGTCCGGACACTCTCACCTGTGATGACGATGTCCAGAGGGTCACTGGGAGCTGACAACTGATAGGGGGAGTGAGTAACAGAACCGTAGCATCTGTAGGTCCCTGCAAGGTCTTGCATCATGGGACCGATGGAGAAGTTGGCTTTGGAGACCCCATCATGGTGCTCTCCAATGAGGTGCAAAGTGTCCTTAAACTTCCCTTCTCTGTGCAGAAGGAAGTGCTCAAACCTGACATCTGACCAACATTGCAGGATGACTGTCTCTTCTGATTTCACCAGGCGACCTGGGTGGGCCAGGAGGGAAGGTTTTCTGTGGACTCCTAGGAAGAGAGGTTGTGAGTTTAGAAGGTGTCTCTCTTTATCATCCCATCCATGGCACCTAGAATGAGTGAGGCTTCCCCTTGCTGGTGTCTGTCTCTCTCCTTCCTCTCTGTGTCTTCATGTTCTTTTCTGTGCCCTTAACTCCTGGTGCAGGTCCTTCCATCTGTCTCCCTCCCTCTTCTCTGTCCCTCTGTCTCTAGTAGCCTCTGATTCCCTTCCCACTGGGCTTAGCCTCATCTCTTGGGGTGTTGTATCTATTTCACACTAATGTCTTTCCTGCTGTTTATGTGGGGGTGAAAGAGGAACCAGGATAGGCTGCACATCCAGGCTCTTATCAGCCTGGTTCAATCTCTTTTGGATGAATTGCAATCCTTGGCAGAAGATATGAACTGATGAATAAGGCAGGCACCAGTGTCCACACACCCTGTTCCTGGTGGGGACTGGGAGCCACTCTTGCCATGCCTGTGCCTTCTCCATGGTGCCAGCTTCCATAGGCTGGCTCCTGGTGCTGGTTGGAGGAGTATCAACCCCTCCCTATGTGGATGGAGCCTGGTGGTGGCATCATCATCCCACCCTTGCTGATCTCAGGGTAGCCAACCTTCTCCTTCTTTGGTTTCTTTAATTAATTAATTAATTTTGGAGACAGAGTCTCACTCCTTCACCCAGGCTGGAGTGAAGTGGTGTGGTCTAGGCTCACTGCAACCTCTGTTTCCTGGGTTCAAGTGATTCTCCTGCCCTCAGCCTCCTGAGTCGCTAGGATTACATGCACCTGCCACCATGCCTGGCTTTCCTTGGGTTGTTTCTTAACTTGTCCTTGACCTGGGTTCCAGTGTTGGTTTCCTGTTGCTGCTGTACAAAATTATCAGAAGCATGGAAGCAGGAGAGACCACACTGACACCTTCCAGTACTGGAGACAGAAATTGGACCCTATTTTTCCTGGGCTAAAATCAAGGCATCTGCAGGGCTTTGTTCCCTCTGGAGACTCTGGAGAATCAGTTCCTTGACTTTTCCAGCCTCTATAGGCCACCTGCATTCATGGCTCTTGGCCTTCCTCCACCTTCAAAGCTGGTGAAGACTTCCACTGGACTGCTCTAATCCCCACTCCCCTCTTCCTCCTCCTTTCATGTGCACCCTTGTGATTACACTGAGCCCAGTGGGACAGTCCAGGCTGTCTCCCCATGAGCTCCATCTTCCCCTTCAGTCCCTTCCCCTATAACATACATAGTCACAGACTCCAGGGATTAGAATGTAGTCATCACTGGGGACAATTATTCTTCCCACCACAGCACCCATTTCCCTGTATTCAATCCCCCTTTACCACAAATACAGTCAGGGCCTGCGTGATGGGACCCTCAAGGACATGCCCACCAGAAGCTCTGGGATTCAGGAGGTGGGACAAGGAGAATCCAAGACAGGAGCCCTCTGACCTATGACCACGATCACCAGGGGGTTGCTGGGTGCTGACCACCCACTGGGGGAGTGTGTGTGTGAACCCCGACATCTGTATGTCCCTGTTGTGCGGGGGTCACAGGGCCCATGAAAAGGCTGTTCCAGAATATTCTGTTGTAGAGCTCAGGGACAGGCACCCCACCTTCCTTGTACAGACTGAAGTTGTTAAACCCAAGATAAGAGTGACACCGAAGAATGACATGTCCTAGAGGCACCACAAGGCTGGGCCAGGCAGACAGCAAGGGCTTGTCCTGACCACCTTGGGGAGAAGGAGGCGCCGCCTTAGAGAGGAGGATGTGGAACTGCCCCTCCCTCCCTGTGCTCAGAAGATTCTCCTCGCTTTCCACGTTTCTATGGCTACTATCACACCTTGGTGCCCAGGGCTGAAGGAAGGACCCATCCCGCAAAGACATGGTGTCTCCCTACAACAAAAGCCTCAGCTGAGAACTTTGAGCAAGTGCTGAGTAAAGAGACTCCTACTAGATTTTGATACTGTAAGATTACTCACATAAAACAACACAGGGTAGACATGAGGTGGAGGGCATGTCCTTTGTGAATGGATATCAGCGGATGCCTGAACGAAAATAAACAACTGAGCCCCCATCAGAGGATTTGGAATGTCAGGGCCATGGCTGTGGTTTCCCACCTCTTCTGGTAGAATGACAGCAGCCACACTGCAGCCCCTACCATCATGGAAACGCTGAAGTGTGTGAGTAACACCTTTGTCCTCAGAGGATCTGCTGTTCCTACCACTTCCCAACCACACACCCCAGCTTTGAGCACCCCAGTCTAACCCTGGTCCCCACAGAACTTGACTCTGCCAAGGGGTTGAGAGGCCAGGGAGGCGAGGTCAGAAATGTGGGCTGAGCACCCCAGGGTCCTCTCTTCCTAGTTTATGAGAGACTCCCCGACAGGACTTCCCTCCTGTTTCAGGAAAATCCTCTTATGTGGGGAGATGACACCCGAAGGTTTGGAGAAGGACTCACCCTCATGTGGCCAGGCCCCCTGCAGCAAGAAGAACCCTGGAAAGAAAGATCATGATGGACGATCCATCTGCAGGCGAACCAGCCCTCCCTTGCTGCCCCCACTGGGCTGTGAGTCTTGGCAGCCAGGCCCTTCCTGGGCTGAAGTTAAACTCACCCTCAGTGCCTACCTGCACCCAAGAACAGGGCTGTCGGCTGTGCAGAGACCCAGTTTCCAGGCCCATATCCCCACCCCAAGCCCATATCTCCACTCCAGGCTGATATTTCCACCCTAGGCCCATATCGCCAATCCAGGCTCAGATCTCCACCCTAGGCCCCTATCTCCAATCCAGTCCCATATCTCCGCCCCAGGCCCAGAACTCCACCCTAAGCCCATATCTCCACTCCAGGCCCATATCACCTCTCCAGTCCCATATCTCCACACCCAGGCCCATATCTCCTTCCTAGGCCCATATCTCCACTCCAGGCCCAGATATCCACCTCTAGGCCCATAACTCCACTCCTGGCCCATATCTCCACTCCAGGCCCATATCTCTACTGCAGGCCCGTATCTCCACCTCCAGACCCATATCTCCACTCCAGGCCCATATCTCCACCTCCAGGCCCATATCTCCACCTCCAGGCCCATATCTCCACTTCAGGCCCATATCTCCACTCCAGGCCCATATCTCCACTCCAGGCCCCTATCTCTACTGCAGGCCCATATCTCCATCTCCAGGCCCATATCTCCATCTCCAGGCCCATGTCTCCACTACAAGCCCATATCTCTACTGCAGGCCCATATCTCAACCTCCAGGCCCATATCTCCACTCCAGGCCCAGATCTCCACTTCTAGGCCCATCACTCCATCTCTAGGCCCATAACTCCACTTCCAGGCCTATATCTCCAACTCTGGGCCCCGATCTCCATCCCCGCACTCCCTCCCTCGATTCCCTTCCAGGACTCACCAACACACGCCATGCTGACGACCATGAGCGACATGGTGCTGTCTGTGCAGACAGGCGGCCGCGCCCCAGCTCAGCTCAGCAGCGCACAGGATGTTATTTGGCGCCCTGCCCATGCAGTTTACATGTTGACCACATCATGGGAGGGTGACGTACGCAGGCTCTTTCTACCTTGCATGAGGCCCAGTGGGTGCTCGCTCAAGAGCGGAACATGGCTTCCTGGAAATTGTTCTCACTAGAATTGACACCTTGCGTCCTTCACTACGACCAGACTCAAAAGACGTCTCAGATCCAACCTCTCATACACGAGATGATTGAATTCTGTGCTTACATTAAAGATTTTTGATGTATTTTTGTTTTTATCTGAGATTCAAACTCTTCTTCATATGTAATGTGCAAAATGTCTAACAGGTATTATTAACATTATCAGAGTAATTGTGACAAGAAGCCATTCTAATTTTCCTGCTTGAGTTTCTAGTACTAAACCAGAGGCATCAGAATAGCTTGAACCTGGGAGGCGGAGGTTGCAGTGAGCTGAGCTCAAGCCACTGAACTCCAGCTTGGGTGACAGAGGAAGAGTCTGTCTCAAGAAAAAAAAAAAAGCAAACTAAATAACCTATAATAACAAATCAGAGGACTCAGGTTACCAAATTTTAAGGGGTTCTATAAGTTTATATAAAATGCAGCATCCTCATGAGAGGGGATACAGAGAACCACTGGACAGAAAACTGTGTCTAAAATACATCTGTGGATACACAGTCCCTTTATAGTTGACAAAGGCTGCCATGTAGTTTAAGGTGGAATAGAATATTTTCTCAACAAATAACACAGGACCATAGGGTTACACGTAGGAAAAAATAAATCTAAACTTATCCTCACACTATAAAAACACTTCTTATTTTTTATCTTGTTGTTGTAAATTTTTTATGCTTTATTTTTAAGATTGACAAATAAAAATTATATACCATGGTCCTTCACTATACCTGGGTGATTGGTTCCAGGATCCCCATTCAGATACCAAAATCTGCAGATGCTCAAGCCCCTTGCATGAAATGGCATAGTGAAGCTGGGCACCGTGGCTCACGCCCGTAATCCCAGCACTTTGGGAGGCTGAGCTGGGTAGATCACAAGGTCAGGAGTTCAAGACCAGCTGGTCCAACATTCTGAAACCCCGTCTCTACTAAAAATACACACACAAAAAAATTTATCTGTGCATGGTGGCACGTGCCTGTAATCCTAGGGGAGGCTACTGGGGAGGCTGAGGGAAGACAATCGCTTGAACCTGGGAGGCGGAGGTTGCAGTGAGTTGAGATCACGCCACTGCACTCCAGCCTGGGTGAGAGAGTGAGACTGTCTCAAAAAAAAAAAATAGCATAGCAATTGCATAGAACCCATGCACATCCTCCTGTATACATGAAATCATCTCTTGATTACTTATAATTCCTGACACAGCCTACACGCCACTCAATTTGTGTCGATTCAACATAGTTTTTTGCTTCTTGAAACTTCGGGGATTTTTTTCTCAAAATATTTTTGATTTATTGTTGGTTCAATAAACACCTGTAAACCCCACAGATATGGAGGACCGACTGTATATTTATATTATGAAAGATGATATGTTGATATGTGTCCCCGTGGAGATGAGACTAACAAGGCCTATGACTCTACAAATGTTTCATCGTGGAATGACTCTGCCAGCTTTCCAGGTCTGCAGAGAGTAAGAATATCACTTGTTCATGTGATTCACGATCCTTGGAGCCTCCTATGTGCTGTATCTTTGGATGGAAATTGGAGTCTCAGAGACAATTCAGGCTCCATTCTGCTTCCAGAAGCTCAGAGTCCAGGGCTGAGAACCCAATGGAGAACAGATGGGGTTATGTGGACATGGTAATGATAACACCGGAAGCCTTAGGCAAGAGAAGAGTCTCGTTACCGAAACCATGAGGGCAGACATGTTTATTTGAAGGCGGGAAAACTACATTGAAATTATTTAAAAAATTTATAAGTTTTACTGCTGGCAGAAGGCTGAAAGATAGTCTGAAGGGAGGTGGAACAGCACGTGTCTAAGTGCTGTGTTAAGAGGGAGCCTCTTGTATGTTTGGAATTGTGAGTTCCTCAGTGTGATTGCAGCCTCAGGTAGACTAGGAAGTAAGCTAGTTAGGTTGGAGAGGTGGGCAGGGGTCAAGTGAAATGGAGAATTGTGGGCTAAGCAAAGGAGTGTGTTTTCTCTCCAGCAGGCAGTGGGGACCTTAGACATTTGTAAGCAAGAGAGAGGCATGTTCAGATTCGTGGTGTGAGGAAGAGCGATGCCCTAAGATGAAGACTGATGCCTTCAGATTCCAGCTGCTGGTACATGGGAGCTGGCAACCCGGTTTTGAGACAGGGCTGTTGTCTCCCTAGAAGATCCCCTCAAGGCCTGACTGTGGTGCTCGTGGACAGAAGACAACTTTGGATCTGGGCTCAGCATTTGGAAGTTCTATGTACATGCTGGTATCTGTTGGGGGTGTCTTGGGCCTCTCAGAAGGGCGAGTGATTTCTCTCTGTGTGAAAACACAGTGATCCAATTATGCGTATGACACCTCCTGATGGTCTTGTTCATCAGAATCCTGGAGAGAGGGAAATGCTGAGTGAGGGAGGGTGCTCACATTTTTCAGGACTCTTTGGGAATAAGACTAGCCACGAGGCTGGGCCGAGGAGCACCTACCTCGCTGTTCACTGTTCTGTTCCCTGCAGGCTCTTGGTCCATTACAGCAGCATCTGTAGAAGACGGAAGTCAACAAAAGAGCTCGGAGGGCACTTCTGGGTCCTCATTTCATAAGCAGATACCAACAAACAGGGGGAGGCCATAGGTGCCTGAGGTCCCTCAGTTGCCAACAGCAGACTCAGACATTCTATCTCTCTGAGTTCAAGGACCCATCCCATGAATAGCTCTGAGTTCCCATCCCATTGATTCTATCTCCCACTTTCTGCCTGTCATGGAACCTTCTCCTGGATGTGAGTGGCTGCAGGGGACGTGAGGGTACAGTTCAGAATCAGGCAACGGTCTGTGAGCTGAAGGCAGGGGAAGGGAATCTGGTGCTCTCTCTAGAAAGTCCTGCCTCTGTGGCTCCTGTCTTGGGCCAGGGACCATCCTGCTGGTGAGGAACACACACCTGAGTGCTCCCATCCTGCTTCCCCACATGGCCCTGAGCTCTCTGGCCTCTGCTTCGTGAGACTTACTTTTTTTGTTGGAGCACCAGCGATGAAGGAGAAAGAAGAGGAGGATGGTGAAAGGGATTTTGACCACTGAGGTCCCAATCAGAACATGCAGGTGTCTGGGGTTACCTGGAAGAAGAGGAGACACCAATAAGAAGCTAATCATAGCAGTTCCTCTTTATGAATTGTCTCGCATTTCTTGATTGGCAGGTAACCACATACAACGTCTCTTTAGGACAAGCACCCAAATGGCGGGAGACCTAGCTTTCCCCTGCTTTCTCAATTATAGCTCTCATAGTAACCATAGAACGTGCTGAGGATACAACTACTTTAGTTGAGATGTTTGACCCCTTCAAACCTCACATTGAAATTTCACCCCCATTGTGGGAGGTTGGGCCTCTTCAGAGGTGTTTGGGTCATGGAGGTGGATCCATCATGAACAGATCAATGCTGTCCCAAGGAGACGGGGTTAGCAAGTTCCCCCTCTGTTAGTTCCTGGACAGCTGGTTGTTAAAAAGAGCTTGGAAGCTCCATTGCTCCCTCTCCCCCTTACTCTCTCTCTTGCCGTGTGATCTCTGTGGTCTCTGCACAGACAGACCCTCCTTCCCTTCTGCCAGAGTGGGAGCAGCCTGAGGCCATCACGAGAAATAGATTCTGGTGCCATGCTTCCAGTACAGCCTGCAGAACTGTGAGGCAAACCGATCTCTTTTCTTTAGAAGTTACCGAGGCTCAAGTGTTCCTTCAGAGCAACAAAAAAAAAAACTAAGACAGCAACGACCTGAGATCAGGAGGAATGTCTCAGAACAGCCTGGGCTGTCTTCCTGTTCTTCCTGGAGGAAGGCGTCATGCAGTGCTTTAGCTGAGTGCTTCCTGTGGCTCCAGGGTACAAAACCCAGGCTGGGCTGCTTTCTGGCTTCCCCCAGCTACACTGCAAATGGGGTGACTCCATATGTCCCGAGCAGCTTTTCTGAGCCTTGAGGGACTGGCTCACATTGAAATGTAGGCTTCTGTTGTCACTCGCTGCTTATCTGTTAGTAATGAACCTGCCTGTGTAATGTATTCTCTGTGTGTTCTGTCTCCCTGGAGTGACGGTGAGTGATAGGAATTGGCATAGGCCCAGGTGCAGTCCAGGAGGTGTTTAGAGTCTTCTCTGGGAAGACTGCACTGGGATTGATACACAGCGACTGTGCTTTAGGATTTCTACATCCACGGCATTCTTGAGTCAAACAACTTGCATTCTCCAAGAAAAGGAAACAAAAGTGAAATCAAGATAAAAAAAGCGAAGTAGAATTCTCTTATGTCAAATGGCCAGGAAACAGTGTTGAAGCCCATGTGAAACGTGCTACTCTTTGTGATCTCAGGAGACACATGTTAGGTTGCTGTTCTACCCGAGAGGCTGGGGGAAGGACCACCCCCTCGGCCATCTATTGCTTCAATACCACCTGTCCTCCTGTGAATTAGTAGGAAAGGGGAGCAGGAGCTACTGCTGACGCTAATCTCTGATTCCAAGATCTGGACTCACTCCAAGGAGTATTAGAATTTACCTCCCCATGGCCTATCTGAATCTCCACAGATGATTGGAAGTAGGGGTGAGGTGGGGGATTTGGGTGAGAGGGCATGTTTTCTTGTGATGAACAGAGCACTTTGTGTATTCCAGGATCTGTGCTGGAGGATTCAGCGGGCTTTCACATTTTCTATATGATCTCATGCTCACAGAAAGCCAAATAGGGAAGAGGTTTTAGGCTCATTGCCTAATGGATAAGATAAAGGATCAAAGAAGTAATTATAGAGAAATAGAAAAATCATGATTGGAATTCAGGTCCCTTTCTCATTTGCATGTGTTATATTATATTTATATTTATGCATTTCTTATTTTTATTTTTTGAGACGGAGTCTCCTTGTGTCACCCAGGCTGGAGTGCAGTGATGCAATCTCCACTCACTGCAACCTCCACCTCCTGGGTTGAAGTCATTCTCCTGCTTCATCCTCCAGAGTAGGAGCTGGGATTACAGGGATGCACCACCATGCTCGGCTAATTTTTGTGTTTTTCCTAGAGACAGGGTTTCACCATGTTGGCCAGGCTGGTCTCGAACTGCTGACTTCATGTGATCCACCCGCCTTGGCCTCCTGCAGTGCTGGGTTACAGGCGTGAGCCACCGTTCACAGACTTGTATATTATGCTATAATAGGTCCCTTCATTTCCACCACCCCTCATATATCTGTCACTCCTTTGCCAGGTATTGATTTATGTGTAGTAGGAATAAAGCTCAGAAAGAAATTAAGCGAGGATTAGACAACTAGGAAAATCATACCCAGCAAGCCTTTCCAGCCAATGATTCCACCTCACAAGCATAGCTTATATCCATCTGCTTCACCCAGTTAGGGTCTAAATCAGCACCACATTTCACCAGTGGGGCGGGAATTGCCTTTTCCACAGTCTCCTAGATTCCAGTTACGCACCTGGGCCTCCCTTATTTTCATGTCAGTCACTATTAATCATGTAGGGATTCCTGGCTACCCCGAGGTGAATCCAATGGCTGTGAGTGTCAAACACACACTCCTTGTTGCTCCTTAGTTTCCTGTGTACCCAGTGTGCTCTCCGTCTCTCCACAGTCGTCTTGTCATTCTCCCCACCTCATTCCCAGCATTTGAGGCAGAGCCTCTTCCTTCCACATCAGATTGTTTTCAGCTTTCTGCCTTCACGGCTGACAGCTGTGTGTGGAAAATCCTTCCGCCAATCTTTCAGGGGTTCAATCCGTGTTTTTCATTAATGTCACAAATATCTGATTAGTGAGATCTTCTCTGTCACCCAAAATCATACACTCAGCATTATGTATTATTTATTTTAAATTCTGGCTGGGCACAGTGGCTCACGCCAGTTATCCCAGTACTTTAGGATGCTGAGACGGTCGGATCACTTGAGGTTGGGAGTTTCAGAGAAGCTTGGCGAAGATGGTGAAACATCCTCTACAAAAAATATACAAAAAGAATTAGCCGGGCATGGTGGCAGTTGCCTGTAATCCCAGCTACTTGAGAGGCTGACGCAGGAGAATCACTTGGATCCAGAAGGTGCAGGTTGCAGTGAGCCAAGATGGTGACACTGCACTGTAGCCTGGAAGACAGAGGGAGACTCTGTCTCAATAAACAAATGAAGAAACAAACAAATAGATTTCATACACAGATGCTTCCCAATGGATCATTCATTTATTGGTCCACTTGTGCATTCATTTTCTGCCCTCCCATTTAACCATCTGCAATATCAGTGTCCAAAGAGCAGAGGCCAAATGCATCTTGTTCACTGTTTGTGGAAGGCAGGAGAATGCTGTCCCACCCCAAAATGTCCCTGTCCTAGCCTCCATAGCTTGTGAATATCTTATTTTACATGGAAAGGAGGAATGAAGATTGCAGATGGAATTATGGTTGCTAATCAGCTGAACTTAAAACAAGGGTATCCTGAATGATTTCCGGGAGATTATGATGGATTTTCATCTTGGTGAACCCAATAGAATCCCCAAGTTTTCAAAAGATGAGGAAGAAGGGAGAGCAGCATTCAGAGAAAGAGGTGTGGTAAGGAAGAAGGGTCTGAGTGATGCCATGTGAGATGTGACCAGTCTTTGTGGGCTTTGAGGAAGGAGGAAGGGGACCAGGAGCGAAGGAATGTGGGAGCCTCTAGAAGCTGAGAAAAGTGAGAAGCAGATTCTTGCCTGGAATCCTCAGAGGGAAGGCAGCCTTGCTGTCACCTTGATTTTAGCCCAGTGAGATGCACTTCATACTTTGAGCTACAGCACTGTAAGATAATTAAAAAACCGTTTTGTTTTCACCCACGAATCTTGTGGAAATTTGTTATGGCAACAATAGGAAAAGCTTCCACAGTGCACAGCCTGAGCATGGGGCCGTGGCTGAATGAGTCAGTGAGTCGAAGTGTGCGTGCATGAGCTCTGTTCTCTGTTACAGCAAGGCTCTTTCTCTGCTGAGTCAGCCAGGGTTGCTTCATGACCTATAGGAGCTCATTCCTTGGCAAGTGGAACTTCTCTAAAACACCTCGCCCTCATCAGATGTTCCCTTCCCTTCCCTCTCTCAAGTCTCCAGGAATTTATCCTCCAGTTAGGAATGCAGGCAGAACAAACATTGCATTTTTCCTGAGAAGGATGTCAGATTGGCAATCATTCTTCTAGCTTGTAGGAAGTCTCAGCTCCATAAAATGAGAGATGAAGAGATTTCACTGAGCCCTGTGTTGGACCCAGATCCCTTTCGCTGTAGGAGTATCTGGAGTTCGGAGATGGTGGAAGACAGGGGTACAATGTCAGAGCTGTGAGATGCTGAGTCAACGCCTGAATCCAAGGTTTCCACCTCCCCAGGTTTCCAAAAGCGGATATAAGAGGGTTCTGTACTCACCGGTTTTGGAGCTTGGTTCAGTGGGTGAAGGCCAACTATTTGAAGGGTTTCCTAGAACATGAGACAGGAGAGAGGTGAGGAAATGAGGGTGTCTGTCCTCTACTCAGTGGAAATCTTTGAGGATGGTTCATGGCCAACACTCTGTTATCTAATATTGGGCCCTGGGAGTCCTGGGATCCTTTTTTCCATAATTTTTTTATGTGACGCCCACTGTCTTGAGACTTCAAGGTATAAAGAGAAAACAGGAGCATCACACTACCTGATCTCAAAATATGTTACAGAGCTGTAGTAAGCAAAACAGCATGACATTGGCATAAAGAAAGGGACATAGAACAACGGAGCAGAATGAATAACACAGATATATTCCATGCATTTACATCCAATGGTTTTTTATTTTTTCTTTTGAGATGGAGTCTTGCTCTGTCACTCAGGCTGGAGTGCAGAGGTGCAATCTCAGTTCACTGCAACCTCAGCCTCCTGGGTTCAATCATTCTCTTGCCTCAAACTCCTGAGTAGTGGTATTACAGGTGCTGACCACCATGCTCAGCTAATTTTTATATTTTTAGTGGAGACGATGTTTCATCACGTCGTCCAGACTGATCTTGAACTCCTGGCCTCAGGTAATCCACCCGCCTCGGCCTCCCAAAGTGCTGAAATTGCAGGTGTCAGCCACCAAGCCCAGCCCATCCAATGGACTTTGACAAAGGTGCCAAGAACTCACAATCAGGAAAGGACAGTCTTTTCAATAAACAGTGCAGGGAAACCTGGACATCGACATGCAGAGGAATGAAACTGCACCTCTACCTGTCACCATACACAAAAATCAAATGAAAATGGATTAAAGATGTGAGTCTAAGGCCTGAACCTATGAAACACGTAGAACAAAATATTGGGGAAATGCTCCAGGACATTTGTCTGAAGAAAGACATTTTGTTTTAAACCTTGAAAACACAAGTAATCGAAGCAAAAATAGACCATTGGGATTACCTCAAACTAAGCAACTTCTGCACTGCTAAAAATAAACCAACAAAGTGAAGAGACAACCCACAGATTGGGAGCAAATATGTGCAAACTATGCATCTGAGATGGGATTAATAACTAGAAATATAAGAAGCTCAAACAACTCAATAAAACAAATGATTTAATTGAAAAAGGAGCAGAAGACATGAAATTTCCCCACATACTAAAAAGTGCTCAGTATCACTCATCATCAGAGAAACGCAAATTAAAATCAAAGTGAGTTTTCATCTCACCCCATTAAAATGGCTTTTAGGCCGGGCGTGGTGGCTCACGTCTGTCATCCTAGAACTTTGAGAGCCTGAGGTGGGTGAATCTCATAAGGTCAGGAGTTTGAGACCAGTCTGACCCACATAGAGAAACACTGTCTCTACTAAAAATACAAAAATTAGTCGGGCGTGGTGGAGTGTGCCTGTAATTCCAGCTACTCGGGAGGCTGAGGCAGGAGAATCGCTTGAACCTGGGAGGTGGAGGTTGTGGTGAGCCGAGATAGCGCCACTGCACTCCTGCCTGGGTGAGAAGAGCAAAACTCCATCTCAAAATAAAATGAAATAAAATAAAATGGCTTTTAGCTGCAAGACAGGCAAAAGAAATGCTGGCAAGGTGGTAGAGAAAGGAGAACCCTGGTACCCTGTTGGGAGGAGTGTAAATTAGTACAGCGATTACGGAGAAAAGTATGGAAGTCCTTTAAAGAACTAAAAAGAGGTTGGGTGTGGTGGATCAGGCCTGTAATCCCGGCACTTTGGGAGACTGAGGCGGGCATCTCAGTTGAGGTCATGAGTTTGAGAGCAGCCCAGCCAACATGGGGAAACCCCATCTATACTAAAAAAAACAAAAAGTAGCCAGGCATGGTGGCGTGCACCTGTAATCCCAGCTACTAGGGAGGCTGAGGCAGGAAAATCATTTGAACCCAGGAGGCAGAGGTTGCAATGAGCCAAGATGACATCACTTGTACTCCAGCCTGGGCACAGAGGGAAACTGTCTCAAAAACAAAAACAAAACAACAAACGAAAAACTAAAAAGAGAACTTTCATAGTATCCAGCAATTTCACTACTGGGTTTATATCCAAAGGAAAGTAAATCAATATATCGAAGTGATATCTGCACTCGTATGATTGGTGCAGCACTGTTCACAGTAGCCAAGATGTGGAGTCAACCTACCTGCCCATCAGTGGATGAATGGATAGAGAGAATGTAGTACATACGCACAGTGGAGACTACTCATCCATAGAAAGAATAACATCCTGATATTTGCAGCCACATGGATGGAACTGGAAGTCATTACAAAGATTCCCATTTCTCACCCATATACAGAGCTAAAAGGTGGATCTCATGAAGGTAGAGAGTAGAATGATGGCTTCCAGAGGCCAGGAAGAAAAGGGTGGAGGGTAAAAAAAAAAAAAAAAAATATATATATATAAATGTATTTATGACCACTAGACTTTACACTTAAAAATGGTAAATGTGGCTGGGCGTGGTGGCTCATGCCTGTAATCCCAGCACTTTGGGAGGCACATGCGGGTGGATCACGTGGTCAGGAGTTGGAGACCAGCTCGACCAACATGGTGAAACCACCTCTCTACTAAAAATACAAAAAGTAGCCTGGCGTGGTGGTGCGCGCCTGTAGCACCAGCTACTCAGGTGGCTGAGGCAAGAGAATCGCTTGAACCCAGGAGGCGGAAATTGCAGTGAGCTGAGATTGTGCCACTGCACTCCAGCATAGGGGACAGAGCTAGACTCTGCCTCAAAAAAAAAAAAAATGTTAAAGGTGGTAAGCTATATAGGTATATTTATCCTCAATAAATATTTCTTCAAACAAAAGTAAAGGGTGTAGGGGTTGCTGGTGATGACATCCCTGTGTGGGTGAGAGGCCAGGATGGGCTTCTGGGAAATGGATAATGTTGAGGGGCTGAGGGAACCTCTGATCTTCCCAAACTGAGCCCAGTCTCTCTCCTCTGGGTCTCTCCTGACCGTTTTCTCCATCTGCCTGTGTGCCTGGAGCCCTGGCCGCGGGCCTTCATGCAGGCCGTGTAGGAGGGTTTGGAGGTGCCCTGTCTGCCATCCTGTGCCCTGATCCCTCCCTCACACCCAAGCTTCGTCTTCTCTCTGCATCTGTCCATGCTTCTCTCCATCATCAGCAGGAAGCTCCTCAGCTAAGGCTCTAGGATCATAGGACATGAGACAGATATGGGGTTTCCTCACCTGTGACAGAAACAAGCAGTGGGTCACTCGAGTTTGACCACTCATAGGGAGAGTCACGGAAAGAGCCGAAGCATCTGTAGGTTCCTCCGTGGGTGGCAGGGCCCAGAGGAAAGTCGGCCTGGAATGTTCCGTTGACCTTGGGCCCTGCAGAGAACCTACGTTCATGGGCCTCCCCCTCCCTGGATAGATGGTACATGTCATAGGAGCTCCGGGAGCTGCAGGACAAGGTCACGCTCTCTCCTGCCAAAACCGTGGGGCCCGGCTGGGCTGAGAGAGAAGGTTTCTCATATAGACCTGGAAGGAGAAGAGGCATTTTCCTCAGGGAGGATCTTCCTTGTCACAGCTCCCTTCACCTGAGCTGAGAACTCACTCCCCTGCTCTATGACCTAATGCTCTCTCTCTCTCTCTCTCACCCTCCACCCCATCTCTCTTCATGTCTATTTCCTCCTTCCACCTTCTCTGTCTCTCTAGGTCTCTGACCTCGCTTCCCCACCTCTAGATATGTTTTCCCTTTTTGGATTCTTTTATTCTCTCTGACTCTCCTTGGATTGGTTGACTTGATGTTACTTTTTTAAATTCTAAGTTTCTCACGTTGTGTCCTGTTCATAACTTTCTGCATATTTCTATCTATTATCTGTCGATCTATCTATTTATCTATTCGGTGCCTATCTACAAATTCTCTACCTGTCATCTATATCTATATATCATCTATGTATCTATCAGTTGTCTATCTATCCATCAATCATCTGTTATTTATATGTATGTATCATCTCTCTCTCTATGATTTCTGTCTGCCTCTCTATCTGTACGTATTATCTATCTGTCTTCATCATCATCATCTCTATGTATTATCTATTAATGAATCAATCAATCATCATCTATGTATCTTTAACCTATTATCTATCATCTACCTATTTATCATCTATCTATATCTATCCATCTATCATCTGTCTTGCTCTGCCTCTCGGTCTCTCTAGTTCTCTTTGGAATCTCTGCAGTTCATCCCCACATCTCCATCTTTCTATGTCCTTGTGCCTCTCCCTCAGGACTCTAATTTTAGTGCTTTTCTCTGCTCCCTTCCATCATTCTCACCACTCCTCTGCCCTCTTTTCTCTCTCTTTATGTGTCAGTGAGTCTCTCAATCTCCTTCCTCTGGCCCATTCTCTGTGTGTTTATGTCTTTGCTTTTTGGTGTTCCTGATTTCTCTCTGTGCCTCTCAGTGATCCTTTCATATGTGGGGTTATTTGGAATGTGAGCCTCAGAATCCAGTCTGGAGACCACAAGTTCACACAGCATACAGGGGTTGGTGTTCTGGGGCCATGATATCCTGGGACGGTTACTCTCCATTACATGGAAGGCAGAGGTGTCAGAATAAACATGGCCTGTAGGTGCCACAAGGCCTGAGGCCACAGGGCCCAACTCAGGTCAGAAATATGGGTGTCCTTGGGTTCTCCTGGTAGAGAACACTTTGTGGAGGTAAAACAGAAATGAAACTTCTATCCTGTGCCAGGTCTGTGAGCAAAGTCAGCATGGAGGGACACCTCTCTCTGGGACATGTCTGTCTGTCTGTCTCCTTTAACTCTTTCTGTCTTTTCTAACTCCCTGTATGGCCCCTGTGTCTGTCCTCCGTTATGACACCTGGTCTGTACTTGTGTCTCCTGTTTCTCTGTCTCTGTTGGTACAAACCTCAGCAAGTCAGTCTCTCTCCATAAGAATACCAAGCTCATCTTCCTTACAACTACCTGGGGGTTCCAAGTCGTGGATCATTCACTCTGCAGCCCAATGACAATGAGAATGTCCGGACACTCTCACCTGTGATGACGATGTCCAGAGGGTCACTGGGAGCTGACAACTGATAGGGGGAGTGAGTAACAGAACCGTAGCATCTGTAGGTCCCTGCAAGGTCTTGCATCATGGGACCGATGGAGAAGTTGGCCTTGGAGACCCCATCATGGTGCTCTCCAATGAGGTGCAAAGTGTCCTTATACTTCCCCTCTCTGTGCAGAAGGAAGTGCTCAAACCTGACATCTGACCAACATTGCAGGATGACTGTCTCTTCTGATTTCACCAGGGGACCTGGGTGGGCCAGGAGGGAAGGTTTTCTGTGGACTCCTAAGAAGAGAGGTTGTGAGTTTAGAAGGTGTCTCTCTTTATCATCCCATCCATGGCACCTAGAATGAGTGAGGCTTCCCCTTGCTGGTGTCTGTCTCTCTCCTTCCTCTCTGTGTCTTCATGTTCTTTTCTGTGCCCATAACTCCTGGTGCAGGTCCTTCCATCTGTCTCCCTCCCTCTTCTCTGTCCCTCTGTCTCTAGTAGCCTCTGATTCCCTTCCCACTGGGCTTAGCCTCATCTCTTGGGGTGTTGTATCTATTTCACACTAACGTCTTTCCTGCTGTTTATGTGGGGGTGAAAGAGGAACCAGGATAGGCTGCACATCCAGGCTCTTATCAGCCTTGTTCAATCTCTTTTGGATGAATTGCAATCCTTGGCAGAAGGTATGAACTGATGAATAAGGCAGGCACCAGTGTCCACACACCCTGTTCCTGGTCGGGACTGGGAGCCACTCTTGCCATGCCTGTGCCTTCTCCATGGTGCCAGCTTCCATAGGCTGGCTCCTGGTGCTGGTTGGAGGAGTATCAACCCCTCCCTATGTGGATGGAGCCTGGTGGTGGCATCATCATCCCACCCTTGCTGATCTCAGGGTAGCCAACCTTCTCCTTGTTTGGTTTCTTTAATTAATTAATTAATTTTGGAGACAGAGTCTCACTCCTTCACCCAGGCTGGAGTGAAGTGGTGTGGTCTAGGCTCACTGCAACCTCTGTTTCCTGGGTTCAAGTGATTCTCCTGCCCTCAGCCTCCTGAGTCGCTAGGATTACATGCGCCTGCCACCATGCCTGGCTTTCCTTGGGTTGTTTCTTAACTTGTCCTTGACCTGGGTTCCAGTGTTGGTTTCCTGTTGCTGCTGTACAAAATTATCAGAAGCATGGAAGCAGGAGAGACCACACTGACACCTTCCAGTACTGGAGACAGAAATTGGACCCTATTTTTCCTGGGCTAAAATCAAGGCATCTGCAGGGCTTCGTTTCCTCTGGAGACTCTGGAGAATCAGTTCCTTGACTTTTCCAGCCTCTATAGGCCACCTGCATTCATGGCTCTTGGCCTTCCTCCACCTTCAAAGCTGGTGAAGACTTCCACTGGACTGCTCTAATCCCCACTCCCCTCTTCCTCCTCCTTTCATGTGCACCCTTGTGATTACACTGAGCCCAGTGGGACAGTCCAGGCTGTCTCCCCATGAGCTCCATCTTCCCCTTCAGTCCCTTCCCCTATAACATACATAGTCACAGACTCCAGGGATTAGAATGTAGTCATCACTGGGGACAATTATTCTTCCCACCACAGCACCCATTTCCCTGTATTCAATCCCCCTTTACCACAAATACAGTCAGGGCCTGCGTGATGGGACCCTCAAGGACATGCCCACCAGAAGCTCTGGGATTCAGGAGGTGGGACAAGGAGAATCCAAGACAGGAGCCCTCTGACCTATGACCACGATCACCAGGGGGTTGCTGGGTGCTGACCACCCACTGGGGGAGTGTGTGTGTGAACCCCGACATCTGTATGTCCCTGTTGTGCGGGGGTCACAGGGCCCATGAAAAGGCTGTTCCAGAATATTCTGTTGTAGAGCTCAGGGACAGGCACCCCACCTTCCTTGTACAGACTGAAGTTGTTAAACCCAAGATAAGAGTGACACCGAAGAATGACATGTCCTAGAGGCACCACAAGGCTGGGCCAGGCAGACAGCAAGGGCTTGTCCTGACCACCTTGGGGAGAAGGAGGCGCCGCCTTAGAGAGGAGGATGTGGAACTGCCCCTCCCTCCCTGTGCTCAGAAGATTCTCCTCGCTTTCCACGTTTCTATGGCTACTATCACACCTTGGTGCCCAGGGCTGAAGGAAGGACCCATCCCGCAAAGACATGGTGTCTCCCTACAACAAAAGCCTCAGCTGAGAACTTTGAGCAAGTGCTGAGTAAAGAGACTCCTACTAGATTTTAATACTGTAAGATTACTCACATAAAACAACACAGGGTAGACATGAGGTGGAGGGCATGTCCTTTGTGAGTGGATATCAGCGGATGCCTGAACGAAAATAAACAACTGAGCCCCCATCAGAGGATTTGGAATGTCAGGGCCATGGCTGTGGTTTCCCACCTCTTCTGGTAGAATGACAGCAGCCACACTGCAGCCCCTACCATCATGGAAACGCTGAAGTGTGTGAGTAACACCTTTGTCCTCAGAGGATCTGCTGTTCCTACCACTTCCCCACCACACACCCCAGCTTTGAGCACCCCAGTCTAACCCTGGTCCCCACAGAACTTGACTCTGCCAAGGGGTTGAGAGGCCAGGGAGGCAAGGTCAGAAATGTGGGCCGAGCACCCCAGGGTCCTCTCTTCCCAGTTTATGAGAGACTCCCTGACAGGACTTCCCTCCTGTTTCAGGAAAATCCTCTTATGTGGGGAGATGACAACCGAAGGTTTGGAGAAGGACTCACCCTCATGTGGCCAGGCCCCCTGCAGCAAGAAGAACCCTGGAAAGAAAGATCATGATGGACCATCCATCTGCAGGCAAACCAGGACTCCCTTGCTGCCCCCACTGGGCTGTGAGTCTTGGCAGCCAGGCCCTTCCTGGGCTGAAGTTAAACTCACCCTCAGTGCCTACCTGCACCCAAGAACAGGGCTGTCGGCTGTGCAGAGACCCAGTTTCCAGGCCCAGATCCCCACCACAAGCCCATATCTCCACTCCAGGCTGATATTTCCACCCTAGGCCCATATCTCCAATCCAGTCCCATATCTCTGCCCCAGGCCCAGATCTCCACCCTAAGCCCATATCTCCACTCCAGGCCCATATCACCTCTCCAGTCCCATATCTCCACACCCAGGCCCATATCTCCTTCCTAGGCCCATATCTCCACTCCAGGCCCAGATATCCACCTCTAGGCCCATAACTCCACTCCTGGCCCATATCTCCACTCCAGGCCCATATCTCTACTGCAGGCCCGTATCTCCACCTCCAGATCCATATCTCCACTCCAGGCCCATATCTCCACTCCAGGCCCATATCTCTACTGCAGGCCCATATCTCCATCTCCAGGCCCATATCTCCATCTCCAGGCCCATGTCTCCACTACAAGCCCATATCTCTACTGCAGGCCCATATCTCAACCTCCAGGCCCATATCTCCACTCCAGGCCCAGATCTCCACTTCTAGGCCCATCACTCCATCTCTAGGCCCATAACTCCACTTCCAGGCCTATATCTCCAACTCTGGGCCCCGATCTCCATCCCCGCACTCCCTCCCTCGATTCCCTTCCAGGACTCACCAACACACGCCATGCTGACGACCATGAGCGACATGGTGCTGTCTGTGCAGACAGGCGGCCGCGCCCCAGCTCAGCTCAGCAGCGCACAGGATGTTATTTGGCGCCCTGCCCATGCAGTTTACATGTTGACCACATCATGGGAGGGTGACGTACGCAGGCTCTTTCTACCTTGCATGAGGCCCAGTGGGTGCTCGCTCAAGAGCGGAACATGGCTTCCTGGAAATTGTTCTCACTAGAATTGACACCTTGCGTCCTTCACTACGACCAGACTCAAAAGACGTCTCAGATCCAACCTCTCATACACGAGATGATTGAATTCTGTGCTTACATTAAAGATTTTTGATGTATTTTTGTTTTTATCTGAGATTCAAACTCTTCTTCATATGTAATGTGCAAAATGTCTAACAGGTATTATTAACATTATCAGAGTAATTGTGACAAGAAGCCATTCTAATTTTCCTGCTTGAGTTTCTAGTACTAAACCAGAGGCATCAGAATAGCTTGAACCTGGGAGGCGGAGGTTGCAGTGAGCTGAGCTCAAGCCACTGAACTCCAGCTTGGGTGACAGAGGAAGAGTCTGTCTCAAGAAAAAAAAAAAGCAAACTAAATAACCTATAATAACAAATCAGAGGACTCAGGTTACCAAATTTTAAGGGGTTCTATAAGTTTATATAAAATGCAGCATCCTCATGAGAGGGGATACAGAGAACCACTGGACAGAAAACTGTGTCTAAAATACATCTGTGGATACACAGTCCCTTTATAGTTGACAAAGGCTGCCATGTAGTTTAAGGTGGAATAGAATATTTTCTCAACAAATAACACAGGACCATAGGGTTACACGTAGGAAAAAATAAATCTAAACTTATCCTCACACTATAAAAACACTTCTTATTTTTTATCTTGTTGTTGTAAATTTTTTATGCTTTATTTTTAAGATTGACAAATAAAAATTATATACCATGGTCCTTCACTATACCTGGGTGATTGGTTCCAGGATCCCCATTCAGATACCAAAATCTGCAGATGCTCAAGCCCCTTGCATGAAATGGCATAGTGAAGCTGGGCACCGTGGCTCACGCCCGTAATCCCAGCACTTTGGGAGGCTGAGCTGGGTAGATCACAAGGTCAGGAGTTCAAGACCAGCTGGTCCAACATTCTGAAACCCCGTCTCTACTAAAAATACACACACAAAAAAATTTATCTGTGCAGGGTGGCACGTGCCTGTAATCCTAGGGGAGGCTACTGAGGAGGCTGAGGGAAGAGAATCGCTTGAACCTGGAAGGCGGAGGTTGCAGTGAGTTGAGATCACGCCACTGCACTCCAGCCTGGGTGAGAGAGTGAGACTGTCTCAAAAAAAAAAATAGCATAGCAATTGCATAGAACCCATGCACATCCTCCTGTATACATGAAATCATCTCTTGATTACTTATAATTCCTGACACAGCCTACACGCCACTCAATTTGTGTCGATTCAACATAGTTTTTTGCTTTTTGAAACTTCGGGGATTTTTTTTCTCAAAATATTTTTGATTTATTGCTGATTCAATAAACATGTGTAAACCCCAGAGATATGGAGGAGTGACTGTCTATTTATAGTAGTATGAAAGATGATGTGTTGATACGTGTCCCTGTGGAGATGAGACTAACAAGGCCTATGACTCTACAAATGTTTCATCGTGGAATGACTCTGCCAGCTTTCCAGATCTGCAGAGAGTAAGAATATCACTTGTTCATCTGATTCACCATCCTTGGAACCTCCTATGTGCTGCATCTTTGGATGGAAACTGGAGTCTCAGAGACAATTCAGGCTCCACCCTGCTTCCAGAAGCTCAGAGTCCAGGGGTGAGAACCCAGCGGAGAACAGATGGGGTTATGTGGACGTGGTAATGATAACACCGGAAGCCTTAGGCAAGAAAAGAGTCCCATTGACGAAACCATGAGGGCAGACATGTTTACTTGAAGAATAGAAAACTACATTGAAATTATAAAAAAAATTTATAAGTTTTACTGCTGACAGAAGGCTGAAAGATACTCTGAGGAAAGGTGGAACAACATGAGGAAAGGTGGAATAGCATGTATCTAAGTGCCGTGTTAAGAGGGAGCCTCTTATATGTTTGGAATTGTGAGTTCCTCAGTGTGATCGCAGCCTCAAGTAGACTAGGAAGTAAGCCAGTTAGGTTGGAGAGGTGGGCAGGGGTCAAGTGAAATGGAGAATTGTGGGCTAAGCAAAGGAGTGTGTTTTCTCTCCAGCAGGCAGTGGGGACCTTAGACATTTGTAAGCAAGAGAGAGGCATGTTCAGATTCGTGGTGTGAGGAAGAGCGATGCCCTAAGATGCAGACTCACGCCTTCAGATTCCAGCTGCTGGTACATGGGAGCTGGCAACCCGGTTTTGAGACAGGGCTATTGTCTCCCTAGAAGATCCCATCAAGGCCTGACTGTGGTGCTGGTGGACAGAAGACAACTTTGGATCTGCGCTCAGCATTTGGAAGTTCCGTGTTACACGCTGGTATCTGTTGGGGGTGTCTTGGGCCTCTGAGAAGGGCGAGTGATTTTTCTCTGTGTGAAAACGCAGTGATTCAACTGTGCGTATGTCACCTCCTGAGGGTCTTGTTCATCAGAGTCCTGGAGGGAGGGAAATGCTGAGTGAGGGAGGGTGCTCACATTTTTCAGGACTCTTTGGGAATAAGACTAGCCATGAGGCTGGGCTGAGGAGCACCTACCTCCCTGTTCACTGTTCTGTTCCCTGCAGGCTCTTGGTCCATTACAACAGCATCTGTAGAAGACGGAAGTCGTCAAAACAGCTCGGAGGGCACTTCTGGGTCCTCATTTCATAAGCAGATACCAACATGCAGGGGGAGGCCATAGGTGCCTGAGGTCCCTCAGTTGCCAACAGCAGACTCAGACATTCTATCTCTCTGAGCTCAAGGACCCATCCCATGAATAGCTCTGAGTTCCCATCCCATTGATTCTGTCTCCCACTTTCTGCCTGTCATGGAACCTTCTCCTGGATGTGAGTGGCTGCAGGGGATGTGAGGATATGGTTCAGAATCAGGCAATGGTCTGTGAGCTGAAGGCAGGGGCAGGGAGTCTGGTGCTCTCTCTAGAAAGTCCTGCCTCTGTGGCTCCTGCCTTGGGTCAGGGACCATCCTGCCTGTAAGGAACACACACCTGAGTGCTCCCATCCTGCTTCCCCACATGGCCCTGAGCTCTCTGGCTTCTGCTTCGTGAGACTTACTCTTTTTGTTGGCACACCAGCGATGAAGGAGAAAGAAGAGGAGGATAGCAAAGGGGATGATGACCACTGAGGTCCCAATCAGAGCGTGCAGGTATCTGGAGTTACCTGGAGGAAGACAAGACACCAATAAGAAGCTAATCATAGCAGTTCCTCTATATGAATTGTCTCACATTTCTTGATTGACAGGTAACCACATACAACGTCTCTTTAGGACAAGCACCCAGATGGCGGGAGACCTAGCTTCCTCCTGCTTTCTCAGTTGTAGTAACCATAGAACGTGCTGAGGATACAACTGCTTTAGTTTAGATGTTTGACCACTTCAAACCTCACATTGAAATGTAACCCCCAGGGTGGGAGGTTGGGCCTCTTGGGAGGTGTTTGGGTCATGGAGGTGGATCCATCATGAACAGATCAATGCTGTCCCAAGGAGATGGGGTTAGCAAGTTCCCCCTCTATTAGTTCCTGGAGAGCTGGTTGTTAAAAAGAACTTGGAAGCTCCATCGCTCCCCCTCCCCCTTGCTCCCTCTCTTGCCGTGTGATCTCTGTGGTCTCTGCACAGATAGACCCTCCTTCCCTTCTGCCAGAGCGGGAGCAGCCTGAGGCCGTCACAAGAAATAGATGCTGGTGCCATGCTTCCAGTACAGCCTGCAGAACTGTGAGGCAAACACATTTCTTTTCTTTAGAAGTTACCCAGGCTCAAGTGTTCCTTTAGAGCAACAAAAATGGACTAAGACAGCAAAGTCCTGAGATCAGGAGGAACATCCCAGAACAGCCTGGGCTGTCTTCCTGTTCTTCCTGGAGGAGGACGTCATGCAGTGCTTTAGCTGAGTGCTTCCTGTGGCTCCAGGGTACAAAACCCAGGCTGGGCTGCTTTTTGATTTCCCCCAGATACACTGCATATGGGGTGACTCCACATGTCTCGAGCAGCTTTTCTGAGCCTTGAGGGACTGGCTCACATTGAAATGTAGGCTTCTGTTGTCACTCGCTGCTTATCTGTTAGTAATGAACCTGCCTGTGTAATGTGTTCTCTGTGTGTTCTGTCTCCCTGGAGTGACGGTGAGTGATAGGAATTGGTATAGGCCCAGGTACATTCCAGGAGGTGTTTAGAGTCTTCTCTGGGAAGACTGGATTGGGATTGATACACAGCGAATGTGCTTTACAGTTTCTACCACCACAACCCTCTTGACTCAAAAAAATTACATTCTCCAAGAAAAGAAAGAAAAAATGAAATCAAGATAAAAAAAGTGAAGTAGAACTGACTTAAATCAAACAGCCATGAAATAATGATGTAGCCCAGGAACAACATGCTACTTTTTGTGATCTGCTGAGACATATATTAGGCTGCTATTCCACCCGAGAAGCACGGGGAAGGACCGCCCTCTCCGTCGTTTATTGTTTCAATACAGCCTGTCCTTCTGTGAGTTAGTACGAAATGTGACCAGGGGCTAGTGCTGGCACTGGTCTCTGAGTCCAAGATCTGAGCTCACTCCAAAGAGTATTAGTGTTTACCTCCCCATGATCTATCTGTATCTCCATAGGTGATTGGAAGTAGAGATGAATTGGGGGATTTGGGTGAAGGGGCAAGTTTTATGCCATGAACAGAGCACGTTCTCTATTCCAGGACCTGTGCTGGTGGGTTCAGGAGGCTTTCACATTTTCCATATGATCCCAAGCTCACAGAAAGCCAAATAAGGAAGAGGTTTAACCTGATTGTTTAATGGATAAGATAAAGGGTCAAAGAATTAAACACAGAGAAATAGAAAAATGATGGTTGGTATCCAGTTGCCTTTGTAATTTCTGTGTGTCATAATTATGTATGTTTTATTTTTATTTTTTGAGACAGAGTCCCCCTGTGTCAGGCTGGAGTGCAGTGATGCGATCTCAGTTCAACCTCTGCCTCCAGGGTTGAAGCCATTCTTCTGCTTCAGCCTCCCCAGTCGCTGGGATTACAGGCAGGTGCCAATGCACCAGGCTAATTTTTGTATTTTTAGTACAGACGGGGTTTCACCATGTTGGCCAGGCTGGTCTCAAACTCCTACCCTTAAGTGATCTACCCGCCTTGGCCTCCCAAAGTGTTGGGTTACAGGTGTGAGCCCCCATCCACAGTCTTGTATATTATATTATACTAGGTCCCTTCATTTGCACCACCCCTCATGTGTCTATCGCTCCTCTGCCAGGTATTGATTTAGATGTAGAAAAAAAACACATCTCAGAAAGAAATTAATGAAACAAGGATTAAACTACTAGGAAAAATCAAACCCAGCAAGCCCTCCCTGCAAATGATTCTACCTCACAAGCATAGCTTATATCCATCTTTCATTCATTTAGTGTGTAAATCAACCCTACGTTTCACCAGTGGGGCGGGAATTGCCTTTTCCACGGTCTCCTAGATTCCAGTTACGCACCTGGGCCTCCCTTATTTTCATGTCGGTCACTGTTAATCAGGTAGGGATTCCTAGTTAGCTCTGAGTTGAATCCAATGGCTGTGAGTATCAAACACACGCTCCTTGTTCCTCCTTAGTTTCCTGTGTACCCAGTGTGCTCTCCATCTCTCTACAGTTGTCTTGTCATTCTCCCCACTTCATTCCCAGCATTTGAGGCAGAGCCTCTTCCTTGAACTAAGAATGTTTCCACCTTTGTGCCTTCACGGCTGAGAGCTCAGTGTGGAAAATCCTTCCGCCAATCTTCCAAGGGTTGAATCCATTTTTTCCATTAAGGTCACAAATATTATCTGATCAGTGAGACCTTCTCTGTCACCTGAAATTATATACTCAGCATTATCTATTACTTATTTTAAATCCTGGCTGGGCGCAGTAGCTCTCGCCTGTAATCTTTGCACTTAGGGACGCTAAGGCGGTGGGATCACTTGAGATTGGGAGTTTGAGACAGGCTGCACAACATGGTGAAACCTCATTTCTACTAAAAAAATATACCAAAAAAATTAGCCGAGTGTGGTGGCGCACAGCTGTAATCCCAGCTACTCGGTAGGCTGAGGCAGGAGAATTGCATGAACCCAGGAGGCAGAGGTTGCAATGAGCTGAGATTGTGCTACTGCACTCCAGCCTGTGGAACAGAGAGAGACTCTACTCAAAAAAAAAAAGAAAACAAAAAAAACACACACACACAAAAAACCCCAGATTTGGTGCACAGATGCTTCCCAATGGATCATTCATTTATTGGTACCCTTGTGCATTCATTCTCTGCCCTCGCATTTACCCATCTGCAATATCAGCGTCCCAAGAGCAGAGGCCAAATGCATCCTGTTTACCATTTGTGGAAGGCAGGAGAATGCTGCCCCACCCCCAAAATGTCCCTGTCTTAGCCTCCATAGCTTGTGAATATGTTATTTTACAGGAAAGGAGGAATGAAGATTGCAGATGGCATTACGGTTGCTAATCAGCTGAACTTAAAAAGAGGGTACGCTGGATGATTTTAGGGAGATTGAGATGGATTATCTTGGTGACCCCAATAGAATCCCAAAGTCCTTAAAAGATGAGGAAGAAGGCAGAGCAGGATTCAGAGAAAAAGGTGTGGGTAAAGAAGAAGAGTCTGAATGATGCCATGTGAGACGTGACCAGCCTTTGTGGGCTTTGAGGAAGGAGGAAGGAGGAAGGGGACCAGGGGCCCAGGAACGTGGGAGCCTCTAGGAGCTGGGAAACGTTAAGGAGCAGATTCTTGCTTGGAACCTTAAAAAGAAATCCAGCCTTACTGTCCCTTTGATATCAGCCCAGTGAAATGCAGTTCATACTTCTGAGTTACAGCACTGTGAGATAATTAAGAAAAACATGTTTTCATCCACGAAGCTTGTGGAAATTTGTTATGGCAACAATAGGAAAAGATTCCACACTGCACAGCCTGAGCATGGGGCATTGGCTGAACGAGTGAGTGAGTGGAAGTGTCGTGTGCATAAATAAGCTAAATTCTCTCTTACTGCACGTCTCTTGCTCTGCTGAGTCAACCAGGGTTGCATCTGGTACACTGCTGATACGAATGTAAATTAGTACAGCCATTACAGAGGAGAAGAGTATGGAAGTTCCTCAAAAAATAAAATGAGGTCGGGCACAGTGGTTCATGCCTGTAATCCCAGCACATTGGGAGGCCGAGGTGGGTAGGTCACTTGAGGTCAGGAGTTGAAGAGCAGCCTGGCCAATATAGCGAAACTCTGTCTCTACTAAAAATATAAAAATTAGCCGAGTGTGGTGGTGGGAGCCAGTAACCCAGCTACTTGGGAGGCTGAGGCTGGGGAATCTCTTGAATCCTGGAGGTGGAGGTTGCAGTGAGCCCAGATGGCGCCACTGCACTCCAGCCTGGGCAACAAGAGTGAAACAGTCTAAAAAAAACAAAAACAAAAACAAAAACCATAAAACAAAATGTAAAAAGACACTTCCAGAGGATCTAGCAATTCCATGACTGGGTGTAAACCCAAAGGAAAGGACATCAGCGTATCGAAGTGACATCTGCACTCCCATGACTGTTCCAGCAGTGTTCACAGTAGCCAAGATGTGGATCAACCTACCTGCCCATCAGTGGGTGAATGGATGGAGAGAATGTGGTACACACACACAATAGGGACAACTCATCCATAGAAAGAGTAACATCCTGTCATTTACAGCCACATGAATGGAACTGGAGGTCATTACAAGTATTTCCATTTCTCACTCATATGCAGGAGCTAAAAGGTGGATCTCACAAAGGTAGAGAGTAGAATGGTGGCTACCAGAGGCCAGGAAGGGAAGGGTGGAGGGTAAAAAAAAAAGAATACTAATTAATTAATTAATTAATTTTGAGAGAGTGTCTCTCTCTGTTGCCCAGGCTGCAGTGCAGTGGCATGATCTCAGCTCACTGCAACCTCCGCCTCCTGCAATTAAGTGCAACTCCTGCCCAACCCTACCAAGTAGCTGGGACTACAGGCATGTGCCACCATGCTCGGCTAATTATTATCATTATAATTATTATTTTGTATTTTTAGTACAGATGGATTTTCCCCATGTTGGCCAGGGTGGTCTTGAGCCCCTGATCTCAAATGATCCACCTGCCTTGGCCTCTCAAAGTGTTGGGATTACAACCGTGAGCCACCGTGCCCAGCCTATAAATGTATTTATGAACAGTAGACTTCACACTTAAAAATGGTAAAGGTGGTAAATTACATAGGTATATTTCACCTCAATAAATATTTCTTCAAACAAAAAGAAAAGGGTGTAGGCGTTGCTGGTGATGACATCTCTCTGTGGGTGACAGGCCAGGATGGGCTTCTGGGAAGTGGGTAAGGTTGAGGGGCTGAGAGAACCTCTGATCTCCCCAGGCAGAGCCCAGTCTCCCTCCTCTGGGTCTGTTCTGACCTCTTTCTCCATCTGCCTGGGTGCCTGGAACCCTGATCAAGGGCATCCTTGCAGGCCATACAGGAGGGTTTGGAGGTGCCCTGTCTGCCATCCTGCGCCCTGACCCCGCCCTTACACCCATGCTGTGTGTTCTGTCTCGGCATCTGTCCATGCTTCTCTCCATCATCAGCAGGAAGCTCCTCAGCTATGGCTCTAGGATCACAAGACATGGGACAGGCATGGTGTTTTCTCACCTGTGACAGAAACGGGCAGTGGGTCACTCGGGTCTGACCACGCATGGGGCAGGGCACGGAAAGAGCCGAAGCATCTGTAGTTCCCTCCGTGGGTCACAGGGCCCAGAGGGAAGTTGGCCTGGAATGTTCCATTGACCCTCAGCACTGCAGTGAGCCTAAGTTCACCGGCCTCCGCCTCCCTGGATAGATGGTAAATGTCAAACAAGCTCCGGGAGCTGCAGGACAAGGTCACATTCTCTCCTGCCTGAACCGTGGGGCCCGGCTGGGCTGAGAGAGAAGGTTTCCCATATAGACCTGGAAGAAGAAGAGGTGGTTTCCTCAGGGAGGTTCTTCCTTGTCACAGCTCTCCTCACACCTGAGCTGAGAACTCACTCCCCTGCTCTATGACTTAATGCTCTCTTTCTCTCTCTCACCCTCCACCCCCATCTCTCTTCATGTCTATTTCCTCCTTCCACCTTCTCTGTCTCTCTAGGTCTCTGACCTCACTTCTCCATCCCTAGCTATGTTTTCTTTTTTTGTACCATTTTATTCTCTCTGACCCTCCTTGGACTGGTTGACTTGATCTTCCTCTTTCTTTAATTCTGAGTCTCTCACTTTCTGTCTTGCTCATAACTTTCTGCATATTTCTATCTATTATCTATTGATCGATCTATCATTTATCTATGTATGTATCTATCATCTATCATCATCTGTGTATCTATGACCTATCTCTCTGTTATCTATCATCTATCAATCAATGTATGTATGTATGCATCTATCCATCTATCATCATGTGTTTATCTGTCTTTCTATCTCTCTATATCTATTTATATATCATCTGTCTGTCTTTCTACTTGTCTATCTATATCATCTATCAGTCATTCATCATCTATTTGTCTATCACCTGTCTCTCTATTATCTATCATCTACCTTTTATCTTTCATCTATCTATATCTATCTGTCCATCTATCATCTGTCTCTCTCCATCTCCTTGTCTTTCTCTGCCTCTCAGTCTCTCTAGTTCCCTTTTGGAGTCTCTGCAATCCATCCTCACATCTTTATCTTTCCCTGTCTTTGTGCCCCTCCCTCAGGGCTCTGATTTTAGGGCTTTTCTCTGCTTCCTTCCATCATACGCTCCACTTCTCTGCCCTCTTTTTCTATCTCTTTATGTGTCTGTGAGTCTCTCAATTCCCTTCTTCTGGCTCATTCTGTGTGTGTGTTCATGTCTTTGCTTTTTGATTTCCCTGATTTCACTCCGTGTCTCTCTGTGGGCTTTTGTTCTCAGTAATCCTATAACATGTGGTGCTATTTGAATATGAGCCTCAGAATCCAGTATGGGGACTCCAGGAACTCACAGCATACAGGGGTTGGTGTTCTGCTCCCTCACCTGGGGCCATGGTGTCCTGGGACTATGACAGCTCCACTGCACGGAAGGCAGAGGTTTAAGAATAAACACAACATCTGTAGGTGCCACCAGCCTGGGGCCACATGGCCCAACTCAGGCCAGATAGATGTGTCTCTTTGGGTTCTCCTGGGAGAGAACACTTTGTAGAGGTAAAACAGAATGGAACCTTCTAACCTGTGCCTGGTCTCTGAACAAAGTCAGCATAGAAGGACACCTCTCTCTGGGATATGTCTGTCTCTCTGTGTCTTCTTTACCTCTTTATCTCTTTTTCTAACACCTTGTATGGCCCCTGTGTCTGGCTTCTATGTTATGACATGAGGTCTGTACTTGTGTCTCCTGTTTCTCTGCCTTTGTTGGTACAGACCTCACCAAGTCACTTTCTCTCCATAGGAACCCCACACTCATCTTCCTCATGACCACCTGGGGCTTCCAGTCCTAGATCATTCACTCCATCTCCCAGCAAGGGTGAGAGGCAGGTCTGTATTCTCTCACCTACGACCACGATGTCCAGAGGGTCACTGGGAGCCGACAACTCATAGGGTAAGTGAGTGACAGAACCAAAGCATCTGTAGGTCCCTGCAAGGGCAGGTGTCATGGGACCCATGGAATAGTTGACCTGGGAACCCGCATCGTGGAGCTGTCCAACGAGGCGCAAGGGGTCCTCAGTGATCCCCTCTCTGTGCAGAAGGAAGCGCTCAAACCTGACATCTGACCAACATTGCAGGATGACCGTCTCTCCTGATTTCACCAGGGGACCTGGGTGGGCCAGGAGGGAAGGTTTTCTGTGGACTCCTAAGAAGAGAGGTTGTGAGTTCAGAAGGCGTCTCCCTTTCTCATCCCATTCATGGGACCTGAAATAAGTGAGGCTTCCCCTCCATGGTGTCTATCTCTCTCCTTCCTGTCTGTGTCTCCGTGTTCTTTTGTGCCCATAACCCCTGTTGCAGGTCCCTCCATCTGTCTCCCTCCCTCTTCCCTGTCTCTCTGTCTCTAGTAGCCCTGATTCCCTTCCCACTGTGCTCAGTGTCACCTCTTAGGCTGTTGTATCTGTTTCCCACTAATCTCTTTCCTGGTGTTTATGTGGGGGTGGAAGAGGAACCATGACAGGCTGCATGTCCAGGCTCTTAGCAGCCTGAATCAATCTCTTTTGGACAGATTGGAAAGGCCGGCAGGAGGTACGAACTCATCAGTAAGGCAGGCATCAGTGTCCCTGTTCCTGATGGGGATTGGGAGCCTCTCCTTTCATGTCTGTGCCTTCTCCATGGCCCCAGCTTCCATAGGGTGGCCCCTGGTGCTGGTTCCAGGAGCATCAACCCCTCCCTATGTGGATCGAGCCTGGTGGTAGCATCAGTATCCCACCCATGCTAAAATCAGTGTAGCCAACCTTCTCCTTGTTTGGTTTCTTAACCTGTGCTTCACCTGGGTTCCTGTGTTGGTTTCCTGTTGCTGCTGGAGAAAATTGTCACAAACATGGGGCAGGAGAGAATACAATGACCCCTTCCACTTCTGGAGAACAGAAATCGGACCCAGTTCTCTCTGGGCTAAAATCAAGGCATCTGCAGGGCTGTGTTTCCTCTGGAGACTCAGGGAAGAATCAGTTCCCTTGACTTCTCCAGCCCTTAGAGGCCACCTGCCTTTGTGGCTCATGGCCTTCCCCCATCTTCAAAGCCCGCTGTGGCTGATGGAGTCTCCCTCCCACGACGTTGCTCTAACCCCACTTTCCTCTTCCTCCTCCTCTCATGAGGACCCTTGTGATTACTCTGAGCACAGCAGGACAGTCCAGGCTGTCTCCCCATCGCAAGGTCAACTCATCAACAACCTGAGCTCCATCTTCCTCTTCAGTCCCCTGCCCTATAACATAAATAGTCACAGGGTTCATGGATTACCATGTAGCCATCACTGGGGACAATTATTCTTCCCACCACAGCAACTATTTCTCTGTACTGAATCCCCCTTTACCCCAAATACAGTCGGGGCCTGGATGATTGGACCCTGATGGACGCCCCCACCAGAAGCTCTGGGATTCAGGAGGTGGGACAGTGAGAAGCCCAGACAGAAAGCCTCTGACCTGTGACCATGATCACCACAGGGTTGCTGGGTGCCGACCACCCAGTGGGGGAGTGTGGGTGTGAACTGCAACATCTGTAGGTCCCTGCATGTGCTGGGGTCACAGGGCCCATGAGAAAGCTGTTCCGGAATATTCTGTTGTAGAGCTCAGGGACAGGCATCCCGTCTTCTTTGGACAGACTGAATTCATTAAACCCAAGACGAGAGCGACACTGAAGAGTCACATGTTGTCCTTCAGACACCACAGTGCCGGGCCAGGCAGAGAGGAAGGGCTTGTCCTGACCACCTGGGGGAGAAGGAGGCACCACCTTAGAGAGGAGGATGTGGAGCCGCCCCTCCCTCCCTGTGCTCAGAAGATTCTCCCATTTCCACGTTTCTAAGGCTCCTACCACACCTGGGTGCCCAGGGCTACAGGAAGGACCCATCCCGCATAGACATGGCGTCTCCCTACAGCAAGTGTCAGCTGAGAACTTTGAGCAGGTGCTGAAGAAGCGACTCTTACTAGATTTTAACACTGCAAAATTACTTACATAAAAGAACACAAGGTAGACACAGGATGGAGGGCATGATCAGCTAATGCATGAACCATAATAAACAACTGAGCCCCTATTAGAAGATCTGGAATGTCAGGGTCATGACTGTGGTTCCCCCACCTCTTAGGTAGAATGACAGCAGCCACATTGCAGCCCCTACCGTCATGGAAACGCTGGAGGGTGTGAGTTATGCTCTTGTCCTCAGAGGCCTGTTGTTCCTTGCACTGCTTCTCTCCCTTCCTCTGCCGGTGACACCACTTCCTCCCTGCACACCACTCCTTTGAGCACTTCAGTCTCCCCCTGGGTCCCCACAGACTCAGCCAAGGGAAAGAAAGGCCGGGGAGGGCTAGGACAGAACTGTGGCGAAGCTTCCCCTGGCTTCCTTTTCCTAGTTCATGAGAGATTCCCACATGGCTTCCCATGGTCAGCCCATCAGTCAACCCCCTGTGTCGCCTGCCTCCCGTTTCAGGAGCATCATCTTATGTGGGGAGATGACAACCTAAGGTTTGGGGGAAGGACTCACCCACATGTGGCCAGGGCCCCTCCAGCAAGAAGAACCCTGGAAAGAAAGATCATGATGGATGATCCATCTGTACATCACCTCCAGGCCCATATCTCCACTCCAGGCCCATATCTCCACCTCTAGGCCCATATCTCCACTCCAGGCCTATATCTCCACCTCCGTCCTATATCTCTACTCCAGGCCCATATCTCCACTCCAGGCCTATATCTCCACCTCCGTCCTATATCTCTACTCCAGGCCCATATCTACACTCCAGGCCCATATCTCCACCTCCAGGCCTGTATCTCCACCTCCAGGCCCGTGTCTCCATTCCAGGCCCATATCTGCACTCCAAGCCAACATCTCCACTCCAGGCCCGTATCTCTACTCCAGGCCCATATCTACAGTTCCAGGCCCATATCTCCACCTCCAGGCCCATATCTCCACTCTAGGCCCATATCTCCACCTCCAGGCCCGTATCTCAATTCCAGGTCCATATCTGCACTCCAAGCCAATATCTCCACTCCAGGCCCATATCTACAGTTCCAGGCCCATATCTCTACTCCAGGCCCATATCTCTACTTCAGGCCCATATCTACAGTTCCAGGCCCATATCTCCACTCCAGGCCCATATCTCCACCCCAGGCCCATATCTCCACTCCAGGCCTATATCTCCACTCCAGGCCCATATCTCCACTCCAGGCCCAGATCTCCACTCCAGGCCCAGATCTCCACCCCAGCGCTCCCTCCCTCGATTCCCTTCCAGGACTCACCAACACACGCCATGCTGACGACCATGAGCGACATGGTGCTGCCGGTGCAGACAGGCGGCTGCGCCCCAGCTCAGTTCAGCAGCACACAGGATGTTGTGAGGGGCTCATGCAGTTTACATGCTGACCACATCATGGGAGGATGACGTATGCAGGCTATTTCTACCTTGCATGAGGCCCAGTGGCTGTTTGGTCAAGAGCGGAACATGGCTTCCTGGAAATTGTTCCAACTAGAATTGACACCTTGCATCCTTCACTATAACCAACTCAAAACACGTCTCAGATCCAATCTCTCATACAGGAGATGACTGAATGCTTGGCTTACATTAAAGACTTTTGATGTATTTTTGTTGTTTTTATCTGAGATTCAAACTCTTCTTCATGTGCTATTTTCCCCAGGCTGTTCTTTGACTTCAGAGTTCAAGCAATCCTCCTGCCCCAGCATTTCTAGCAGCTGGCAGTATGTCACAATCTGCCACACCCAAGTCACAACTTTTAGAACTTTTTTTTTTTTTGAGACGCAATCTCACTTCGTCACCCAGTTTGGAATGCAGTGGTGAGACCTCGGCTCATTGCAGCCTCCACCTCCCAGGTTCACGCAATTCTCGTGCCTCAGCCTCCTAAGTAGCTGGATTTACAGGCACCCACCATCACGCCCACCTAATTTTTGTACTTTTAGTAGAGAGGAGGTTTCTCCATGTTGGCCAGGCTGGTCTTGAACTCCTAACCTCAAGTGATCTGTCTACTTCAGCCTCCCAAAGTGCTGAGATTACAGGTGTGAGCCACCATGCCTGGCCGGGACATTCTATATGTGTGCGTATGTGTGCGTTTATATACATATGGTTATACACACACACACACACACACACCCTAAGCACTCACATATATAGTTGTTTCAAATTTTAAAAAATATAAATTTTGTATTTTTCTTTCTTTTTCTCACATTTGTGTTTCTATGACACCATATACATATTGAATTTTATAGTTCTATTTTATTCTTTTGGATTGCAGTTTAATAGTCCATACATAACTTTATCAACATGTAATTATCCACTCTTTTTATCATGGACATTTGTGTTGTTTCCGGATTTTCTCTTTTATAACTCGGGCCTTGATAATCGTGTTTCTGTGTGATCCCTTGCATACATATGCTGAATTAATTAGACATATTTACCTAGGAATGAAATTATTGGTTTTGGGTGCAAGTTGGTGTTGAGCTTAACCAGGAAGTGCCAAAATATTTCCATCATGACCAAATGTGGCCTGGAAAGTTTTTTGGGGTCAATTTTCCTGTTTCTTCTAAGGAACAAAATTGATGTCACTGATTTTTCTGTCCTGTTTGTCATTTATGAATATACGTACATATGCACGTATATATTTGCTTGCCATTTTATGTTTTTCCTCGACGTTACTTTGGAATTAATTTGCTGATGTGTAGTATTTCTGCAAGCGAAAGTTACCTATTTACTCAGCTCTTCCTTCTTTTCTAACACAGACATTTGAGGCTTATTTTCCTTTAACACTGTTCTATCTGTATCCCCAGTCATTTGCCGAGATGTGTTTTCATTTTTAATTGATACAAAATATTTTCCACCTTTCTTTGAAATGTTTTTCTTCCACTCATTGTTTATTGCTATGTGTGTTTATTAATTTTAAAATATTTGATAATTTCCCCAGCATTTCCTTGTTGTACATTTATAATTTAATTCAACTGTTTCATCTATCATATTACCTATGATTCAGCATTTAAAAATTTATTTTGGTGAATGTTCCAGGGGTGCTAGACAAGTTTGTGGATTAGGAAGATTTGAGGTGGATGTTTTCTAAATGTCAGTTAAGAAAAAAATCATTCAAATGTTTTTCTTTATTTAAAAAAAATAGAGACGGGGTCTCACTATGGTGCCCAGGCTGGTCTCAAACTCCTGGCCTCAAGTGATCCTCCCATTTTGGCCTCCCAAAGTGCTAGGATTATTGAAATTATTAAATGTTTCATATCAACACCCAACCTTATGCACCCGCCGCCTACACAAATGTTTTTCAAGTCTTTCATATGCTTAATAATTTTCTGTGTACTTGTTCTGGAAGTGAGGTGAATGTGGCTATCCTCTACTGCAATTTGGATGTGATTGATTAAGTTTTGAATTATGCCTTTATTTTATGGGTTTTGAAGGTTCCCGCTTTAGGGGTGAAGCTTTTAGGAATTATTAAGTCTTTATTTAGAAATTTGCCTCTTTTGTCATTAAGAAGAAATCCCCCTTCATAACTCCCTAAAATTCTCTTCTTTGTATGGTGCATGGAGAAATTTTTTTCATTTCTTTTTAATTAAAAAAACTTTCTAATTGAGGAAATAATTTTTTTTACAAACATTTACCTATTCTATGTATACAACTGACTAGAAGCATATTTTGCACTGGGCATTATCATGACAATGTAATGTCATTCTTTCAATATTTACATCTTGTGGATTAGTATTTGAAGTGCAGCTTATGTAGACAGCATAAGGTTGGGTGTTGATATGAAACATTTAATAATTGCACACGTATTTGCCTCTTGGGATACTTCCACTTTTTTGAATTTCAAGTTACTAAATGGTATCATTAATCTTTGCTTCAAGAGCTTAACATTTATTGTAGAACAATGCTTCATGTAATAAATTGTGAGACATTTTTAATGGCACCTTTATTGCAGGAAAATGTTTTCCTTTTCAGGTTGAAAGATTCTAGTTTGAAATATTTTCTTGTAGCACTTTAAAAATGTTGGTCCACCTATTTCTTACTTTCATAGTTTTGAATACAAAGTTTGCTGTCATTCTTGTATTTCTTCTTCTGTTTTTTATTTATTTATTTTTGACAGAATATCTTGCCGTCTCACCCAGGCTGGAGTGCAGTGGCATGATCTTGGCTCACTGCAACCTCTGCCTTCCAGGTTTCAGCAATTCCTGCCTCAGCCTCCTGAGTAGCTGGGACTACAGGCATGCGCCACCATACCCAGCCAATTTTTTTTTTTGTATTTTTTTTTTGTAGAGATGAAGTTTTGCCATATTGGCCAGAACTCCTGACCTCAAATGATCCACCTGCTTTGGCCTCCCAAAGTGCTGGGATTACAGGTGTGAGCCACTGTGCTCAGGCTATTTATTCCTTTTTATATAATATGAATTCACATTCATACATACCAGGGGTTAGGATTTCAACAAACGTTTCTGGGGGAGACCACTCAAAACACAGCACTCATCCTTGGTTATTTCCAGCCATGGAGCCTGTATCAATATCCTGGTGAATTATCTAAGCTGTCCACCTACCTACCCCAAATCCTCATGGTCACATAAAAGGCTAGTATAGTATAATAATTTTTCTTTCCCTGCTTATCTACAGTGATGAAGAAACGAATATTCAAAGGGAAAAATCTTAGCTTTAGGTATAGGGTAATTCTTCTTCCTATTTTTAAATAACTTCAACCTTTACTGTAGATTAAAGGTATGCATGCAGGTTTGTTACATAGGCATATTGTGTGACTCTGAGGTTTGTGGTTCCAACAATGCCATCACCCAGGCAATGAGCATAGAATCCAACAGGTGTTTCTTCAGCCTATACCTCCCTACTCCTCCCCCCATCTGTAGTCCTCGGTATCTGTTGTTTCCATCTTTATGTTCATGTGTATTCAATGTTTGGTTCTCAGTTATAAGTGATAACATGTGGTATTTGGTTTTCTGTTCCTGGGTTAGTTCACTTAGGAGATTGACCTCCTGCTACATTCATGTTGCTGCAAAGGACATGATTTCATTATTTTTTATGGCCATGTAATGTTCCATGTGTATATGTAGCACATTTTCTTTAACTAATCCACTGTTGGTGAGCACTTAGGTTGACTGCAAATCTTTGCTATTCTGAATTGCACAGCAATGAATATACTAGTGCATGTGTCTTTTTGACATAGTTAATTACCTTCCTTTTGGTATATACCCAGTAGTGGGATTGCTTGATTGAATAGTAGTTCTATTTTAAGTTATTTGAGAAGTCTCCAAACTGCTTATCACATTGGCTGAACTAGTTAACATTCCCACCAAGAGTGTATAAGTGTTCCCTTTTCTCCACAATCTTGTCAGCATCTGTTATTAAAAAAAACAAAAAACTTTTTAGTAATTGCTTCTGCTTCTCTGATTGTTGTGAGATGGTATCTCACTGTGGTTTTAATTTGCATTTCTCTGATGATTACTGATAATAAGCATTTGTTCATATGTTTTTTGGCCATGTGTACATCTTCTTTTGAGAAGTGTCTGTTCATGTCATACTTAATTGAGGTTTTTTGGTTTTCTGCTTGTTGATTTGTTTACATTCCTTATAGATTCTGGATATTAGAACTTTGTCAGATGCATAGTTTGCAAATATTTTCTCCCAGTCTGTAGGTTATCTGTTTACTCTGTTGATACTTTCGTTTGCTGTGCAGAAGCTCTTCAGTTGAGTTAGGTCCCAATTTCTGTCTTTGTCACAATTGGTTTTGGGGAGTTAGCCATAAATTCTTTGCCAAAGTCTATCTTGAGAAGGATATTTCCTAGGTTTTCTTCTAGAATTTTAATATTTTGAGGTTTTACATTTAAATCTTTAAACTATCTTGGGTTAATTTTTGTATATAGTGAGAGTTAGGGGTCCAGTTCTATTATTTTGCATATGAGTAGTCAGTTATCCCAGAACTATTTATTGAAGAAAGGGTACTTTCCACATTGCTTGTTTTTGTCAATTTTTTCAAAGATGATTGTAGGTATGTAGCCTCATTTCTGGGTTCTCTATTCTGTCTCATTGGTCTATGTGTCTGTTTTTGTAGTAGTATCATGCTGTTTGGGTTACTATAGCATTGTAGTATAGTTTGAAGTTGGGTAATGTGATGCCTGGGCTTTGTTCTTTGTGCTTAGGATTCCTATGTGTATTCAGGCTCTTTTTTTGGTGCCAAATACATTTTAGAATAAATTTTTATAATTTCGTGAAAAATGACATTGCATTTTGAAATGGATAGCATTGAGTCTGCAATTTGTTTTTGGAAGTATGGCGATTTTAACTATTTGTTCTCCTAATTCATGAGCATGGAATATTCTTCCATTTGTTTGTATCATTTCTTATTTCTTTCAGAAGTGTTTTGTAGTTCTCCTTGTAGAGAATTTTCACCTTCTTGGTTAGATGGATTCCTAGGTATTTTATTTTCTTTGTGGCTAGTGTAAATGGAATTGTGTTCTTGATTTAGTTCTCAGCTAGAATGTTAGTGGTGCATAGAAATGTTACTAATTTGTGTACATTTTTTTAATCCCGAAACTTTATTGAATTTGTTTATCAGTTTCAGGAGCCTTCTGACAGAGTCTTTAGGGTTTTCTATGTATAAAATTATTTCATCAGCAAAGAGAGACAGTATCACTACTTCTTTTCCAATTTTAATGCCTTTTATTTCCTTCTCTTGCCTGATTGCTTTGGCTAGGACTTCCAGTACCATGTTGAATTAAAATGGCGGGAGTGGTCATCCTGGTCTTGTTTCGGTTCTCAAGGGGTATGGTTCCAGCTTTTGCCCATCAATATGATGTTGGCTGTGGGTTTGTCATAGATGGCTCTTAATATTTTGAGGTATGTTCCTTTGATGCCTATTGACAGTTTTTATCATGAAGGGATGTTGGATTTTACAGAAAGCTTTTTCTGCATCTATTGAGATGATCATATAGTTTTTGTTTTTAATTATGTTTATGAGGTGAATCACATTCGTTGACTTTGTAGGTTGAACCAACCTTGCATCCCAAAAATAAAGCTTACTTGATCATGTGAATTAACTTTTGATGCACTGACAGATTCAATTTGCTAGCATTTTGTTGAGGATTTTATGTCTATGTTCATTAAGGATATTTAGTTGTAGTTTTCTTTTTTTCATTATGTCTCTGACAGATGTTGGTATCATGGTGATGATGGCTTCATAGAATGAGTTAGGAAGAAGCCCCCACTCCTTGATTTTTTCCAAAAGTTTCAGTAAGATCGGTATCAGTTCTTCTTTGTATGGCTGTTGGATTTTGGCTGTGAATCCATCTGGTCCTGGGCTATTTTTAGTTAGTAGGGTTTTTATTACTGATTAAATTTCTGAACTTGTTATTGGTCTGTTCAGGTTTTCACTTTCTTCCTGGTTGAAATATGATAAATTTTGTGTTACCAGGAATTTATCCATTTCTTCTAGGTTTTCTAGCTTGTTTGTATAGAGGTGTTCATAATAGTCTTTGACGATCTTTTCTATTTCTGTGGGATTGTTCGTAACATTGTTTTGTCAGTTCTATTTGTGTTTATTTGGATCTTTTCTCTTTTTCTTTGTTAATCTAGCTAACAGTCTATGAATTTTGTTTATTTTTTTTCAAAGAAAAACTCTTGGTTTTATTTATCTCTTGTATGGACTTTTTGGTCTCAATTTATTCAGTTCTCTCTGACTTTAGTTATTTCTCATCTTTTGCTGGCCTTGGGTTTGGACTGTTCCTTTTTTTTAATAGTTCCTCTAGATGCAGTGTTAAGTCACTAATTTGAGATCTTTCTAAACTTCTGATGAGGCATGTATTGCTATAAATTTTCCTCTTATCACTGCTTTAACTGCATCCCAAAGGTTTTGGTAAGTTTGTTTCTATTTTTATTAATTTTAAATAATGTTTTGTGATTTCTGCTTTAATTTCATTGTTCACCCAAGAGTTCTCAAGGGGTACAGTTCCAGCTTTTGACCATTCAATATGATGTTGGCTGTGGATTTGTCATAGATGGCTCTTAATATTCATTCAGAAACAAGTTGTTAAATTTCCATGTTTTTCTGTAGTTTTGAGAGATCATCTTGGTATTTTTTTCTATTTTTATTGTGTGCCTTGTTATGATTTTGATTCTTTGAATTTATTGAGACTTGCTTTGTGGCCAGTCTTAGAATATGATATGTTTTTTGTGTGTGCAGATAAGAAGAATCTATATTCTGCAGTTGTTGGGTGGAGTACTCTGTAGATGTCTATGAGGTCCAATTGGTCAAGTGTTGTCTTTAAGACCAGAATTTCTTTGTTAGTTTTCTGTTTTAGTGATTCATCTGACGTTGTTAGTGGGATACTGAAGTCCCTTACTATTATTGTGTGGCTGTCTAACTCTTTTCATAGGTGAAGAATAACTTGTTTTATGAATCGGGGTGCTCCAAATTTGGGTGCATATATATTTAGAATAGTTAAGTCTTCTGTCAAATTGAACCCTTTATCATTTTGTAATGCCCTTCTTTGTCCTTCCTGATTGCTGTTGATTTAAAGTGTGTTTCATGTGATATAAGAATAGGAATGCCTTCCTTTTTTTTGTTTCCTGGTTGCCTAGTAAATATTTCTTCATCCTTTTACTTTGAGCCTGTGGGTGTCATTACATGTGAGATGGGTCTCTTGAAGACAGCAGGCAGTTGGCTCTTGGCTTTTTATCCACGTTGCCACTCTATGCCTTTTATGTGGGGAATTTAGGCCATTTACATTTCTTCTCCTGATATATCCTTTTTATATTTTTATGATTGCCTTTTAAAATATATTGAATGGTTGTAATTCCAGGGAAATGTCTTTCAGAACAGTATTTATTCCCATCTACATGTTTTGGAGAGTGCACTAGGGGACATTGAAGTTTATTTCCTGAAAAGAGTTTAATTTTAAAATGTATTTTATTTAATAACTCAATGATTCAGGGAATGTCTAGGTATTTCAGAGATTGTTTTAGACAGTTTGTTTTCTTGTGATATGTGACCACTTCATCTAAGCTGAATAATGTCTTCATAATGTCCACTTAGAATCTTTTGAATTCTGTAGGATCTGTACTGATGTCATTGTTTCCTTTCTGATATTGGTAATTTTCCTGGGGTAGGATTCTTAGCTCCTCCTGAGGTCCTGCCTCTAAAATTCAGGGAACAATGAGTCAGATTAGTACTCTGATTTCAAAGGGAAAGCTGATCATCTACCATTTTTTGTTTATGTAAATGGACACATTAACATCCCTTGTCTGAACCTTAGTTACCTTGTTTGGAGCATTTTGCTATAAATCTCACTTCTCAGAGTGGTTGTGGGGCTTGATGTGGCTGGGGTATGGGATGGCTTAAACATAATTTATTTCCAGACCAGGTTAAGGCATGAAGGGGTTGGGACTTGTTAGAATCCTGTTGTCGGACTCCACAGTAAGGGTAGACATTTGAGGCACCCAATCAAAAACCTCAGTTGTTCCTAGCACTGAGAAATTTGATAGAATGTTTCTAAAACATTATTCATGGTCTAATGCACAAAAAGTAAAGTGATAGCCCTGGAAGTAGACAGGGAACCATAAGAAAAAAGAGAGAGCAAAGCTCAGTGGTCACCAGTGCCTGGGACCATCAAGGGGTTATTAAGGAGGAAGTTTCCACCTCTGTGGGGAACAGAAGAGGCTCCCTAGGGTCCACACACACAGGGAGTGAGCCAAGACTCTGGGCGAGGCTGGAAGCTCTGGGTCTCCTTCTGTGAGATTTTCTTTTTTTTTTTTGAGATGGAGTCTTGCTCTGCCACCCAGGCTAGAGTGCAACGGCGCGATCTCGGCTCATGGCAACCTCTGCATAAAGTGGTATGTATTTAAGGCATGCATTAGACAAATTACTAAGTATTTACTAGATAAGAAAAAATTATATCTGAATCTTTTCAAATTGCCGTCTTATGCATTATATTCTCTTTTTATAGTGCAATTTCTTAATAGTTAATGCCAGAAGATTTTTTTTTCTTCCTTTCTTTCTTTCTTTTTTTTTTTTTTTTGAGACAGAGTCTCACTCTGTTGCCAGGCTGGAGTGCAGTGGCACGATCTCGGCTCACTGCAACCTCCGTCTCTCGGGTTCATGCCATTCTCCCGCCTCAGCCTCCTGAGAAGCTGGGACTACAGGCACCCTCTACCATGCCCAGCTATTTTTTTTTTTTTTTTTGTATTTTTAGTAGAGACGGGGTTTCACCATGTTCGCCAGGATGATCTCTGTCTCTTGAACTCGTGATCCACCTGCCTTGGCTTCCCAAAGTGCTGGGATTACAGGCATGAGCCACTGCACCTGGTCGCCAAAAGATATTTTTAAAAACCTAAATGCCACTTGAAATGAATAAGACCCTCAATAATTCATGGGATATACATGTGAACTTATGACATATGATGAAATAAGCAGGTTACAAAATTGTAATATATCAAGCAAGGTAGAAAGCCATGGCAGAAAAAGAGACAAGCATTTTCAAGATAAGGAATGAAAGAGGGGAAACAGTACTATTGATTTTACAGATTTTACAAAGATATCTTAGGTGTGTTTTCCTAAATAATAAATGTACCCTCCTTTTGACCTTTATGTAATGAAATAACCATGCACACATTTTCAAATAATACTTCATTTACTTGACTTTATGCTTGAAAATTGAAGTATGGTGCTGTTTGTTATTTTCATTTATGCATTTTACTACCTTGTAATATTCCACTGAGTCTATTTACCACACTATGTTTATTTTTTTCGTAGGTGGACTTTGGTATTTTATAGCTTTGGCTAATAGGAACAGCATTCCTATAACAGTTGTGAGTGTATCATGACACATAAGTAGACATTTATCTCTAGGGTACATAATTAAGTACATAATTAAGAAGGGTCACAGCCATGTGCCTCCTCTTTTTAACTAGATAATTCCAATACACTTCCTTAATTGATTAAAGCAATTTGTACTCTTACTATTAATGTACTAAAATTCTACATGTTCAATATTCTTTCCAAAAAATGATTTTGCTACTTTTTTCTTTTCTTGAGACTGAGTCTTGCTCTATCACCCAGGCTGTAGTGATCTCGGCTCACTGCAACCTCCGCCTCCTGGGTTCATGCGATTCTCGTGCCTTGGCCTCCCAAGTAGCTGGGATTACAGGCAGGCGCCACCATGTCTGGCTAATTTTTGTATTTTTAGTAGAGACAGCGTTTCACCATGTTGGCCAGGCTGGTCTCGAACTCCTGACCTCAGGTGATCCTCCTGCCTCGGCCTCCCAAAGTGTTGGGATTACAGGCATGAGCCACCACACCCGGCCTATTTTTTTCTTTTCCCTCCATTGTGCTATGATTTTTGACATTACAATTTTACTGAAACTACACCATAAGAATGAAGCAGAAATTATTATAACCTTTAAATAAACTTTACAACTGGTTCATACTCGTGTGAACGACAATTCTTTTGACTACTTCCCAACTGTGCATTCAATGGCGTCATATGGGCACCCTGAAGTTGGCCATAAAGGACGTATTTATACCACACTAATCAGCAAATACCATAAATCTGGGGCTTTATATGTTCAGAGTTTTCTTAAGAAAATAATTTTTTCAGAGAGCCAGTTTAACAGAATACCATGAGGCTGAGCCTTCGAGCGTTAGTGTGCTCATTCTGAGAGATGATATTTCTGGACAAAGTACACAGGTATCATCCGATGAAGAGTGAAGGGAATTCAGGGTCCAGAGAGGGTGCTAGGGCATCATTTCAGACTCATATTTCCCTTTTTTTTTTTTTTTTTGGAGATGGAGTCTTGCTCTGTTGCCCAGGCTGGAGTGCAGTGGCAAGATCTTGGCTCACTGCAACCTCCGCCTCCCGGGTTCAAGCTATTCTCCCGCCTCAGCTTCCTGAGCAGCTGGGATTACAGGTGCTCACTGCCACACCCAGCTAATTTTTGTATCTTTTAGTAGAGACAGGGTTTCACCATGTTGGCCAGGTTGGTCTCGAACTTCTGACCTCAAGTGATCCGCCCACCTCAGCCTCCCAAAGTGCTGGGATTACAGGTGTGAGCCACTGTGCCTGGCCTCAGACTCATGTTTCAAAGTCCCAAATACAAATCTGCCCACCTATTCCAGTTATTTAATCCAGATCTATGCTCAGAACTGAAAAGATGGAGAATCAATAGTTCACTTTAGAGAATGCGGTAGTTGGAAACAAAGACAAATGTATTACATGACAGTGGACCAGAGCACGTGATCGCAGGGGTGTGGATGCAAACCCACCATGGGGGACGTGCCTTCACATCACAGAGAGCGAAAGGAAGGGAGGGGCAGACACGGAGGATCCACAACAGCAGGACTGAAAGCACTGCCATTTAATGGAAGTTTAATGGAGGAAGCGTTCTCTACAGGCACCCAGACATCTTCCTGAACCTGACCCAAGCCTCCCCTTCTCGACTTTCTCAGTAGACGGTTTCCCGAATGATGGTCCAGACTTTCTTCCAGAACCTCCTAGGACTATCAGATTCATTGCCAAGGCTCTGGCACTCTGAAGGGTGCATTGTTCTCTCATGTATTTACCTCCTTGCTGCATCTTGGGGACTTCTCTAGCTGTGCCAGTCCTAAAGCAGCAGAATCCCGAGGACCACCAGGACCAAGCCAGCCACAGCCACGCGGATGAGATTCTCCACTGTGTAATCCTGGGGGTGTGAGGCTGGGGATGGTGGACCAAGAGGTCTCAGAGGTCAGGGCAGATCAACATCACCCGGGACCCCTGGATGTCCACCCAGGGCACCCACCTCCCCTTCACAGGACCTGACCCTCTGTGCCAGCCCCATAACCGAGAGCATCTCCTTACACACCAGTCTTGGAGTCTGTCTTGTTTTGCGATGGGCTGAGGGTCTCAGCTGCTCCTGAGAATCAACCAAAAAAGGGGGAGGTGTGTGAGGAGTTGAAGAGACTTAAGCCAACATGTCCCTCAGTTGCTGCATTCCTTTGTGTCTACACTTCTCCTAACTGCTCTGTAGTTGTGTGATAGAACCTTTCCCTGCCGTGGCAGAGGTACATTCGCATACATACATACATATATGCATAGGTGTAAATATGTGTGTATACATAATATGTGTTATGCATATGTGTATACATAATATGTATTATGCATATGTGTATAGATAATATGTATTATGCATATGTGTATGCATAATATGTATTATAAGATATAGTGTGAGTATATATAAATATATAATATATAAGATATATAATAGTGTGTGTATACATATAAATATATAATAAGATATGTAATAGTGTGTGCATATATAAATATATAATATATAATAAGATATATAATAGTGTGTATATATAAATATATAATACATAATATATTATAAGATATATAATAGTATGTATATATAAATATATAATACATAATATATAAGATATATAATAGTGTGTGTATATATAAATATATAATACATTATATATTATAAGATATATAATAGTATATATAAATATATAGTACATAATATATAATAAGATATATAATAGTGTGTGTATACATATAAATATATAATAAGATATGTAATAGTGTGTGCATATATAAATATATAATATATAATAAGATATATAATAGTGTATATATATAAATATATAATACATAATATATTATAAGATATATAATAGTATGTATATATAAATATATAATACATAATATATAAGATATATAATAGTGTGTGTATATATAAATATATAATACATTATATATTATAAGATATATAATAGTATATATAAATATATAGTACATAATATATAATAAGATATATAATAGTGTGTGTATACATATAAATATATAATAAGATATGTAATAGTGTGTGCATATATAAATATATAATATATAATAAGATATATAATAGTGTATATATATAAATATATAATACATAATATATTATAAGATATATAATAGTATGTATATATAAATATATAATACATAATATATAAGATATATAATAGTGTGTGTATATATAAATATATAATACATTATATATTATAAGATATATAATAGTATATATAAATATATAATACATAATATATAATAAGATATATAATAGTGTGTGTATATATAAATATATAATACATAATATATATTATAAGATATAATAATGTGTGGGTAATATAAATATATAATACATAATATATAAGATATATAATAGTGCATATATAAATATATAATACATAATATATATTATAAGATATAATAATGTGTGGGTATATATAAATATATAATACATAATATATATTATAAGATATAATAATGTGTGGGTATATATAAATATATAATACATAATATATAAGATATATAATAGTGTATATATAAATATATAATACATAATATATATTATAAGATATATAATAGTGTGTGAGTATATATAAACACATACATATATATTTGAAGTGAGAAGAGTATTATATAATTTAGAAACAAACAAGTTTGTCCTCCATTTTCTTGTGGTTAATGTAATTATTATCAATAAATCAGAAGAGATCATTTCGGAAAGGATTGAAAGGGAGTGTGTCTGTGGTAAGTTAATAGGAACTAAAATTAGCATACCCAAACCAATAGCTTTCTCATCCATACGTAACTAATTTTAGAAAATAGAAAGGAATCAAAGACTTTCAAATTATTCAAGTAGTAAAACAATGCTTAAAATTCACAATGTCCACAATTTTTATGAATACAACTTCAAGCATCTGCTAACTGTATAAAGTTTAATTTTAAATGTATTGGATACAAAGACATTATTAATGAGAAGTTATTCTCCATCATGAATGCACATATTTAATTTAATCCCAAAGAAAATCAGAGCACAGTTATTTTACATCATAACGCTACCTAACAAATTAAATGTGTAAATTATAAATGCCAGCATTGCTTTGAAATCTTCAGAAACAGAAAGAGAAACTAGATATGTGGACATAAAAAATAAAGGACAGAAAGGAATTGCACACGAGGTTTGCTGTTGAATAATTTGCCTGCATTGCTGCAGTGAGCAGGTGCATGATCTCCCCTTCGTCTCAGGTATGCACTGAGTATTTTGGGGCCGCCAGGGGAGCCCAGGTGGGGAGTGGGTGGGGCCTCCATCTTCTACCCTCAGCCTAAGCATGATTCCTCCAAGGTTTCTCCATATCTCATTTCAGCCCTCCCTGGCCTTTAGCCCCATCTGAGGTCTCTGGGGTGGGAGCCCAGGATTAGGAGGTCCCTGACTATTTCCACCCTCTCATGGGCTGGGCCCTCCCCTGCCGACCCTCCCCCTTTACTCCCCTCTTTCCTTAGCGTCCTGAGCTCTCCTGGGGGCAGGGCCTGAGCTGAGGTTTGAGCTCAGAGAGGACAGGGTCAGCGGCCTCACCTGAGACCACGAGCTCCAGGGGGTCACTGGGGTGAGACAGCAGGTAGGGGAAGAATCTGCGTGAGCTGTAGCACCTGTAGGTCCCCGCGTGGGCTGAGGTCACAGGACTCATGGGGAATTCAGCCTGGTGCTGCTGAGCTTGGTGCTCTGATCTCAGACGCAGTGGGTGATGGGCTGCCCCCTCCTTGGTCAGAAGGAAAGTGTCCAACTGCTCCCGTGACTGACACAGCAGGGTCACGTTCTCTCCTGAGGCCACCGTGGGGCCCGGCTGCACCGAGAGGGAGGGTCTGCCACGGATCTGTCCTGGAGAGAAGAAGGATGGGTGAGGGGCTGCCCCACCTCGTTCTGAGCTGACACCTCCCCAGGCCTCTCCCTGGGACCCTCAGTGTCTCTGTCTCTGTTTTCTCTGAGTCTCCCCCTCCCCGCCCATCCCCTGTCTCTGTCTGTCTCTCCGTCCCTTAGGACCCCCACCCCTCATCCCGGCCATCACCACCTGGGCTCCCCCAGCAGGGCCTGTGCGGAGCCTGGGTCCCTGACTGAACCTGCTGGGCTCCTCACCTGCGATCAGGATGCTCAGGGGGTCACTGGGGGCCGACCACTCGGAGGAGAGGTTGTGTGCACCGTAGCATCTGTACTGGCCCCCGTGGGAGACCCTCACAGGGCCCAGGGTGAAGTTGGCCTGGGAGAGCCCAGCCTGGGGCTGCCGGCCAGAGCCCTGGACGAGGTCATGTCCCCCCTCCTTGTACAGAGTGAATTTGTCATAGCCGACATCAGAGCCACACTGGAGGGTCAGATTCTCCCCAGGGGCCACGACAGGGCCCTGCAGGGTCAGGAGGGAGGGCTTCCTAGACACGCCTGGAGGGAAAGAAGAGTCGGGACTAGGAGGGCTGGTTCCTCCCACACCCCTTCCTTCTCCCCTCCTGGCCCTGCAGGTCTCACTGTCTCTCACACTCAGTGTCTCTGGGCTCAGGAGTCCCAAACTTCCCTTGTTCCACCCTCCTACATGGGGCTCCGTGAGAGTAAGTTCTCAAAAATAAATAGGGCAAGGAGGAAGACATCCATACCTAAGACCAGGATCTCCATGGTATCACTGGGTTCCGACCACACCCAGGGGAAGTTCGTGTAATGCCCATAGCATCTGAACATCCACCGGTGACTGGCAGCCACACGGCCCACAGGGAACAGGGCCAGGGACAAGGGACAGCCCCTTGGAGAGTTCCTGTGAGTCCAGCATCCAGGAGAGCTTGTTTTCTCCTTCCTCAATCAAAATGAACCTGTGAAATCCCACCCTTGAGCTACACTGGATGGTCACGTTCTCTCCTGAGGTCACCACAGGGCTCGGCAGGGCTGAGAGAGTGGGTTTTCTGTGGGCTCCTAGGAGAGAAGGAGACACTGTCTTAAATGGGGCTCACGCGTCCCACATCATCCCCCAGGGCTGAGTTATTAGAACGGAGATGCCCTTGAGAGCTGACCCCCTTCCTGCAGGCAGAGCCTGGGGCTGGGACCCCTGAGTGTCCTCTTACCTGTCACCACCAGCTCCAGGGGCTCGCTGCGCTCTGACCAGCCTGCAGGGCTGAGATAGTGACAGTGGTATCTCCCTGCATGGTGCTCTCTCATGGATGGGATGAAGAAGTTGGTCTTGTTCCTGGGCTCTGGTGGGCTCTGTTGGTACCAGGTCATGGGGTTTCCTTCCTTGGTGAGATAGTAACCCTGGGTATCCAGGGTCCCCTGGCACCAGAGGGTCATGGGGCTCTCCCAGGTAATCACAGAGCCTGGCTCAGCCCAGAGGCTGGGTTTGGGGAGGGTCCCTGGAAGAAACCACAGGCTGGGGTCCACAGACCTCCCCCGCTCCTCATTCCCAGCTCAGGTCACAGACCCTCTTGATTTTCTCACCCTCAGTTCAGAAGCCCCTGAGATGAGAGTCCAGGTGCTGAGTGTGAGGTCAGGCATGGGAGGTTAGCAGAGACTCACCTGCAAGTGCTTGGGCTTTCTGGCCCAGACTCAGCCATGGAGAAGAGTTTCCTGTGGGGGATTTGGAACACAGAGGTGTGGCTGCTTCCCTTCCTGTTGGAGCACCAGTAGCCACTGGAGCCCTGAGGCTCTCTGGTGAACAAGGCTGCTGTGGGACCCTCCCCACCTCAGCCCAGTGCCCCTCCTGTCCCTCGTCTCTCCACCACTGACTGAGGCACAGAAGAACAGTGAGGATGGACACCATGATGCCTGCTCTGCGTGCTCCAGCTGTGGGACAGGTGACCACATGGCCCTCCATGACAGACAGATGCACGGATGTGGTTAAGTCAGAGCCTGCTGCCGCCTGCCTGGGTCCCCACAGCTGTGAACCCACAGGAAGTGGACAGCCCCTTGCTGGGCCTGTCTCTTATTCCCCCCCCAGTGCAGGGGCTCAGGAGGACCCAGGCCCTCTGCACACATCTCAGCCCAGACCTGAGGTGTCCCCTGATTGCCAGGGATCCTTTGTCTGAAAACCTGCCCGTGGAGGGTGGACCCAACATCATATCTATGTCAGCTCCCAACTTAGCTGGGTCTAAACTGAAAACACAGCCCTTATTTTCTCAGAGCCTCCACTCATGACATCGGCTTTCTTTTTCCCCACTGATGCAAAGACAAATATTTCCCAGCAGAAAGTCATCCTGATCTGGAGAGACCCATTTCCTGCGTTCAGTAAATAAAGTCAGTTTCATTAGGGGAGGCTCTGGGAAAATAAGGGGATGCAGACTAGCAGAAGATGAACATTTAGCTACTTGTTTCTCAATTAATTGATTTATTACCAAAGAGAGAGAAGTGGAAACATGAGAATAGGGACCATGACTAGAATGTGGTTGAGGGAATGGTTTCTATCTTATTCCCTGGCAGAGAACTAAGGGATAAGAATGAGAAAGCTGGCTGGGTGCAGTGGCTTACACCTGTAATCCCAGCACTTTGGGAGGCCGAGGCAGGAAGATCACAAGGTCAGGAGTTCAAGACCAGCCTGACCAACATGGTGAAACCCCTGTCTCTACTAAAAATACAAAAACTAGCTGGGTGTGCTGGCATGCGCCTGTAATCCCAGCTACTAGGGAGGCTGAGGTGGGAGAATCGCTTGAACCTGGGAGGTGGAGCTTGCAGTGAGCCGAGATCGCGCCACTGCACTCCAGCCTGGGCAACAAAGCCGGACTGTCTCAAAAAAAAAAAAAAAAAAAAAAAAAAAGAAAGAGAGAAAACCCAGCAGTGAGAGGTAGTTGTGAGAACACACTAAAGAGGAAAGATAATCCAGGGCTGGGAGTGGTGGCTCATGCCTGTAATTCCAGCACTTTGGGAGGCTGAGGCTGGCAGATCACAAGGTCAGGAGTTCGAGACCAGCCTGACCAACATGGTGAAACCCTGTGTCTACTAAAAATGCAAAAATTAGCTGGGTGTGGTGGTGGGTGCCTGTAATCCCAGCTACTCAGGAGGCTGAGGTGGGAGAATCGCTTGAACCCAGGAGACGGAGGTTGCAGTGAGCTGAGATTGCACCACTGCACTCCAGCATAGGCAACAAAGCCAGACTCTGCCAAAAACAAAAACAAAAACAAAAACAAAAACAAAAAACAAGAAAGCTCAGTGAGAGGTGGTTGTGAGAACACACTAAAGAGGAAAGATCATTCAGGGCTGGGAGTGGTGACTCACGCCTGTAATCCCAGCACTTTGGGGGGCCACAGGCGGGTGGATTACCTGAGGGCAGGAGTTCAAGACCAGTCTGGCCAACATGGTGAAACCTCGTCTCTACTAAAAATACAAAAACTAGCTGGGTGTGATGGCGGGTGCCTGTAATCCCAGCTACTTGAGAGGCTGAGTCAGGAGAATCTCTTGAACCCAGGAGGCAGAGGTTGCAGTGAGCTGGGATCGTGCCACTGTACTCTAGCCTGGGTAACAGAGCAAGGCTCTGTCTCAAAAAAATAAAAATTAGAAAGAAAAAAGGAGAAGGAGAAGAGGAAGGAGACAGAAAGGAGAGAAACATCCCTGAGGTGGAACATTACATGCAACATGGAGTAGGCAGGGAATCCGATAGAGCACTGAAACTCTCGCTGGGTACGGTGGCTAACATCTGTACTCCCAGCACTTTGGGTGGCCGAGGTGGATGGATCACCTGAGGTCAGGAGTTTAAGACCAGCCTGACCAACATGGTGAAACCCCATCTCTACTAAAAATACAAAAGGCTGGGTGTGGTGGCTCACGCCTGTAATCCCAACACTTTGGCAGTCTGATACAGGCGGATCACATGAGATCAGGAGTTTGAGACCAGCCTGGCCAAGATGGCAAAACCTCATCTCTACTAAAAATACAAACATTACCTGGCTGTGGTGGCAGTCGCCTGTAATCCCAGCTATGCAGGAGGCTGAGGCAGGAGAATCGCTTGAACCTGAGAGGTGGAGGTTGCAGTGAGTCAAGATCGTGCCATTGCACTCCAGCCTGGCCAATAGGAGCAAAACTCCATGTGAAAATAAAATAAAATAAAATAAAATATAATAAAATAAAATAATAAATCAAAAAAGGACTGGACATCTCCTGTGGGTTGTCAGTGAATGGAACTAAGCAAGCCACCGCTCTTTCCCTTTTGTCCCGCAAGTGTCTTTCTTGGCCTCCAGGAAGTGAGTTCCATCATGTCAGACCCTATGTTTGTTCCTGCTGGGTTCACTGAGGCTCCTCCCTTTCCACCTGTGGCTCCCCATGGGTTCCCAGTCCCCAGCCAGTGTTGTGAATCGAGCCAGGAAGACCAGCCCTATCACACCCCTCCTGATGGAATTCCCACAGTGTCATCCTGGAGAACAGGGGCTGGGGGCTGGGGTAGGATCAGAGACCTTTTCATGTGGGCCAGGCCCCTCCCTCCACAGGAGCTCTGACACGAAGCTCATCACCATTCATTTCACCCTGACGATATTCTTCCTGCCCAGACACCCCCGTTCTCCCTATGTCATCATGGGCACCTCAGTGAAATCCATGGTTGAGGGTCTCTGTCACTTACTCTGCCCTCTTCTTGGAAAATTTCCTTGGATCCTTCCAGAGCCCTTCCTGAGTGTGCTGCAGGGTCTCTGCCACATGACACACTCTCAGGAACCCTCATCCTCCCCTTAATCTACTGCGCCCACATAGCCAGGTGCAGGCTCCGTTTCTTCATCTTCCCTTCCCCACAGGCCCCGATGGAGAGTGGATTAGACTCGCTCCTGAGTAGGGACTCAGGTCACTCTGACCCCTTCCTCCCTGTGGACGAGGCCTCTGTCCCAGAGCTTTGGAGGCTGAAGGGCCTTGTGGATTCCCGCACTGGCCACAGTCTCCGATGCAGATGGGGAACTGGGGACCTGGGAGGGGTTGCCTAGCCCAAGGCCACATAGCTGGGCGGTGGCACAGCCTTCACTCACACAGGGACATTCCATCTTCCCAGGGACTTCACACTGGAGGCTAAGAGCCCCACTTTGCACACCACATTCAGGGGTAGATTCTGTGTGTGACTAACAAGTTCTCTTAGGGTTCCGAGGTAACAGGACAGCAAATGGATGAGTGAGAGTTTCCCTCACCCCACTGAAGTAGGACCATTCTCTGTGGAGGGTTGGTCCCCTGACTTCCTCTACTCTGTCATCTCCCTAGTGACTGATAGGGGTCCTGGGGTCTCTTCCCTGGAATCCCATGAGGGACAATTCCTTTCCTGAAGGGAAGGTATAGAGAGGACTAGCAGGTGCCTGGTGATGGAAAGTCCCCATAATCAAGAGACATTGCCTCCCCCCCCCGGCATGATAAATATCTGGGTTTCCAAATGGGAAATCTGTCTGTGATGAGAGCTCAGGAGGGGCTTCTGGAAGATGGAAAAGGGCTAGAGGCTGAGGCCACTGCTTATCTCCCCACACTGTATCTGGCTTCACCTCCTGTGTTTGTCCTGACCTCTTCCTTCACTCACCTGGATAAGTAGGACCCCAAAGTGGGCCTCCAGACAGGAAGCAGTGGAGAGTGTGGAGCTGCCCTGTCTACCACCCTACACCCTGACACCACTGTCATACTCAACCTCTCTTTTCCTCTTTGTGTTTCTCATTGCTTCATTTTGTCTGGAATCCCTAAGATTCCCATGTCTCCAGCAGGCTGTCCCTCAGACGTGGCTATATGATTTAGTGTTTCACAGGGCATGCAGCAGGCATGGGCTACCCCCAGTAACAGTGGTCATCTAGGGCTGATCACTCACAGGCAGAGCCATCGACAGAGAGCTGCAGCATCTAGAGGTCCCATCACCAGCCCCAAGACCCAGAGAGAAGTTGGCCTGAATGCCCCACTCTGTCTCTGCACCCCAGTGAGCCAGTGTCCAGGGGCCTTACCTTCCTCGTTAGAAGGCACAGGTCAAATGAGCTTCCAGAGCTGCAGAGCAAAGTCACATTCTCTCCATCATTACTTACTGCAGGGCACAGTTGAGCTGAGAAGGAAGGTCTCTTGTAGACGCCTGGGGAAAAAAATAGTCCTTGACTGTCGAGCACAAGCCTTACCCAGCCTATCCTCAGGGCATGAAAAAGGCATTCTCTCCACCTGTTCTGGGGAGCACACTCTGTTACCCACTCGTGCCTCTCTCCATCTCAGTTCTAGCTCTACAAGCTGGCTCATCATGTGTGTGTTTTCCTGTCTGTCTTTGCTCAGCTTTTCCTTGAATCTCTTGCTTTTTGCCGGTGCGTGTGTGGCTTTCTGCCCTTAGAACCATATGAGATTTAGGGTTCTCCTGGCACATAGAACTGTTTACTTTGAGGACCCTCAGAAAACATAGCCCTGGGCTAAGGCTCCCTGTCCTGGAACTAGAAGGTTATGGGTGTCACCATTTCCCAACAGCATGTCTGAAAGTGCCAGAATCTTCAAAGAGTCTGCAACATGTTTGTAGGATCTTTATAGGGTCTGATATTGCAGGGACCAACCAAAGTGCCCTCACACCCCAAGACGCTGGAAGTGACCCCTTGCTGAAAGTGGTTGGAAGTTTCACATAGAAGTTTGAGTTAAGCCACATTGCTGAGCAATGCCTCAGCATCCCAGTCTTCATCCAGACCTTCCAGGAGCCTGGCTGGAGGGGGTGTCTCTGGTGTGTCACTGAGCCTTATAGCAGAGGAAGGGGGCTATGGTGGAAACTACCTCCAAGATACCACTCAGTCCTAAGCTGGGGAACAAGCTGAGCTTGGATTCTGGTAGTGAATGAACCGGGAAACATTTATTTGAAGGGTTCTAAGAGTAGCATCGTGTGGGTGCGTTAATTGTATGTGAAGGGGAAGATCCTGAGAAAACAAGAGCTGCTCCACTCTGTGCCTGGGTTTACCAGAGGGACCGATGAGGTCCTCACAAGACCCAGGAATCCCACCGGGGGAAGGAGGCTTAGGGAGATGTGTTTAAGACTGTTAAGTGAGTCACAGACAGAAGCAGATCAAGCCATCCCACCACCTAGGTTTGTGGTTTTGTTTCTCCTAAACTTCCTTTCTGTAAGTAGCAGAACCTTCTCATCACCATCCTTCAAAACCTCTGCATTGTTTGAGCTCCTTGTATTTTCTGGAGATTAATCTCTTGCTTGCAAATATTCTTTCCCATTCTGTAGGTGGTCTCTTCACTCTGCTGTTTGTTTCCTTGATTGTGCAGAAGGTTTGCAGTTTGCTATGATCTCATTTGCCTATTTTTGCTTTTGCTGCCTGAGCTTTTGAGGGTTTTTTTTTTTTGTTTTTTTTTTTGAGACGGAGTCTCGCTCTGTCACCCAGGCTGGAGTTCAGTGGCATGATCTCAGCTCATTGCAACCTCCGCCTCCCGGGTTCAAGTGATTCTCCTGCCTCAGCCTCCCTAGTAGCTAGGACTACAGGCGAGTGCCACCACACCCGGCTAATTTTTGTATTTTTAGTAGAGGCAGGGTTTCACCACGTTTGGCCAGGCTGGTCTCAAACTCCTGACTTCAAGTGATCCACCCACCTTGGCCTCCCAAAGTGCTGGGATTACAGGCGTGAGCCACTGCGCCCGGCGTTGTATTGGATTTTTAATTCAGCCCTATTTTCTCCGACATTTGATATTGGCATTTTTGTCTTTTTTGGATATGCTAGGATCATGGTGTCATAATTTAATTTTAATTTTTATTTTTATTTTAAGTTCCGGGGTACATGTGCAGAATGTGTGGGCTTATTGCATAGGTCAATGTGCGCCATGGTGGTTTCCTGCACCTGTCAACCCATCACCTAGGTATTAAGCCCAGCATACATTAGCTATTTTTCCTAATGCTCTCCCTACCCCTACCCCACCCCCCCCCCGACAGGCCCCAGTGTGTGTTGTTCCCCTCCCTGTGTTCACGCATTCTCATTGTTCAGCACCCACTTGTAAGTGAGAACATGCAGCGTTTGATTTCCTGTTCCTGTGTTAGTTTCCTGAGGATAATGGTTTCCAGCTCCATCCATGTCCCTGCAAAGGACATGATCTTGTTTCTTTTTATGGCTTCATAGTATTCCGTGGTGTATATGTCTCACATTTTCTTTATCCAGTCTATCATTGATGGGCATTTGGGTTGATTCTATGTCTTTGCTATTGTGAATAGTGCTGCGATGAACACATGTGTGCATGTATCTTTGCAATAGAATGATTTATATTCCTTTGGGTATACGCGCAGTAATGGGACTGCTTTTACCTGTGCCAAAATACTGAAGTAGAAATGATTATTCACTCTAAAATGGAAGGTAATAAGATGTATACGTGAGCTATCAGATGCCTGGTGCTTATGAGTGAAGACAAGTCTGTCCAACGCTTCCCAACCCTGCATTCAGGGATGTCTCGTTGGCATCTTGATTATGGCCATGAAAAAAGAATTTACGTCAAGGAAATTGGTAAATGCCACTAATCATAGCATTTCAAAAAATGTCTTTTTCAGAATTAGCATACCATTGGGTCGTGACTTCAAATGCCAGTGTGTTGATTCCAGGTGGTGATATTTCAGGAGAAACTACACAGATAGCATCTGATAAGGAGGGAAGAGCTCATAGGGTCCACACAGGAGGTGAGGGCATCACGGTGCATTTATCTTTTCCTGGTCGGACTCTGATCTTCTCCCGTTGAATTAGTTCCTAAACCAGGTGCGGAACTCTGAACTGAAGACATGAAGACCCAGTAAAGTACACCAGGAAGTGTGGCAATGAGAAATGAAGAGGACTGTGTGACACGCCATGGACCAGAGCATGCAGGTGTGCAGAGGTGTGGACCCAACGCTGCCATGTGGGATGGAGCCTCATGTCTAAGTGTGGGAAAAGAGGCAGATCCAACCAAGGAAAGTCAACATTAATGGAGAGGAAAGGTATCACATTTTAATGGTTCTCCATGGATCACCCCAGAAAATGTCCCTGCACTCGGACATTGATTCCTTCCTCTGGAAATGACCAGCAGACAGTCCAGATAGCATCGGCCCTAGATTTTCTTCCAGAACCTCCTGGGATCATCAGATCTGTTCCTGAGGCTTCACGACTCTATAAAGTACATTATCCTCTCTGCTGTTCACCTCCCGGCTGCATCTTGGGAAGCTTCTCTGGCTGTGCCAAGCCTCAAATGACAGAATCCCGAGGACCACCAGGATCAAGCCAGCCACGCCCATGTGGATGAGATTCTCCACTGCGTAATCCTGAAGGTGTGAGGCTGGGGATGGTGGACAAAGAGGTCACAGAGGTCAGGGTGGATCAGATTGTCCACCCAGGGCACCCACCTCCCCTTCACAGGACCCAACCCTCAGTGCCAGCCCCATCACTGAGAGTATCTCCTCACATACCAGTCTCAGAGTCAGACTTGTTTTGTGATGGGCTGAGGGTATCAGCTGCTCCAGAGAATCAAAACAGAGAAAAAGAGACCTGAGCCCAGCCTCTCACCTGGGCTCTGCAATTTTTTTTTTATTACTTAATGTCTCATGATGTGACTTTTACAGAATTTCTAAAAAAAAAAAAAAAAAACCTCTTCCTCCGCTAGCAGGATTCCCTCTAGTCTCCTCATTGAACGATTTCAGTTTTCCTGTGTTCTATGGATTTAAACATTGCTCCTGAGTCATCTGGGAGAGAGTTTTCCTGCATCCTGAGAGCTCAGGATCTGCAAGGAAAGTGGTCCCCAGTACAGAGGTCACTAAGGCCTGTGTGCTCTCTGTGCAGCCTGGGACACAGGAGAACATGAGCCAACTCCCCCGGAGATGAGAGTTTCACGGATCCACCAGCTGAGGACCCAGGCTCCGTGGATGAGGGTTAGTCATCAGGGGAGCCTCAATGTCAGAAGCACAAAGGGGTGAAATTCTGGGGCTGCCTCCCCTTCATGCCCTCAGCCACTTCACCTGGAGTTTCATTGTCCATTTAATCTCTAGGTAGCTAATTATTCGTATAGGCAGCAACAGGTAGAATGTGATACACACACAGAAAAACACAAACACAAATATATATCTGTTTTATATATATAGTGGGCCTTAAAAACTATCTCTGCCTTCTTGAAGTGTGGGTTCACCTGGAGACAAACAGCAAACATATAGAAACACAGCAGTGGAAATTTACTAGTCGTAGCAATGGTTTTAGATATATTGGTAGAGACCTATATTTATGTGTGAATATATATTATTTGTATAGATATACGGATAACTAGGTTTCAATGTCACGTAAGATGTTGGTGTGACCACACACGCGCACACACACACACACACGTATATGCAGAGAGTGGAAGAGAGAGAGAAGGAATTCAGCCGCATGGTGTAGGTTGGTTAATTACTTGACATAAATGAGAAGCAGGCAGGACTGGGCTGAGCTGTGTCGTCAGTGAAGGTCACACTTGGAGGTGACATTGAAGCTGATTCCTCAATAGGAAAAAGGGCCAGGAAGGAGGCGTGTGGAGACCCAGACAGGGAGCAACAGAGGCTCCAGAAAGAGCAGGTCCCAGAAAGGTCTCAGCCTGTTCTTCAGAAAGGAATGGCCGCTTGTCTACAGGGTGGAGGAGGAGGCAGAGGAGGAGGGGAGATGAGCTTCGGGGCCTTGGTGGATTGAGAATAGGCCAGGATGAACCGGCCAGGAAAGAGCGGCCCCAATATCTCTCTCTCTGTCTCTCTGTCTCTGTCTCTGCCTCTCTCTCCCTCCCTCTGAGGTCTGGAAAGTGCTGTAGGGTTTCAAGGAGTGGTACCAGTCATTTGACTTTTTCTGAAAAGATAAGCCCTACCCCCTCCATAGCAAATGTCCAGAACGAAGGAAGTCCACATTTCTACCTGAAGTTTACAAAACCTCAGGGAGCACGTGAGATCAGGGCTATTACGAAACCGGGTGAGAATAAAAATAGGTGATGCTGCAAATCTACTTTCACCAGCTTGGACAAAAAGGCCAATATGAGATTTTAAAAACCCAAATAAAAAATGTCAACGGCGCAGAAGAGGAGCGGTGCACATTCCCTGAGCTGCTGCGGGAGCACGTGCAAGTCCCTGTGAGGCTCAGGTGTGCGCTGAGTGCTGGGGAGGCTGCAGGGGAAAGCAGGAAGTGGGGCGGGGTGGGGGGGGGTCGGGGGTGGATGCAGGTGGCACCGGCAGCCTGGATGCTTCTCTCTCCAGGAGGGCGTCTGTTGGGGACTGGGACACAGAGGCTCTGATTCTGAGGTGGAGACACCAGGATGGGAGCAGGTGGGGCCTCCGTCTTCCACCCTCAGTCTAATCTCAACTCCTTTGAGGTTCACCCCCCGTCTCCTCCCAGCCCTCCCTGCACTTTACTCTACTGAGACTTCAGGGGTGGGAGCCAGGGGTGGGAGGTCCCTGTCTATTTCCATCTTCCCATGGGCTGGACCCTCCCCTGCGGACCCTCTCCCTTCACTCCCCTCTTTCCTTAGTGTCCAGAGCTCTGCTGGGGGCAGGGCCTGAGCTGAGCCTTTGAGCTCAGAGAGGACAGGGTCAGCGCCCTCACCTGAGACCACGAGCTCCACGGGGCCACTGGGGTGAGACAGCAGGTAGGGGTCGGAGCTGAGTGAGCCGTAGCACCTGTAGGTCCCCGTGTGGGCTGAGGTCACAGGACTCATGGGGAATTC